>NC_000018.10:79057862-79359218 GCF_000001405.40 Homo sapiens | reverse complement strand
ACCAAGTAAGATGATTGCGGAGACTGAGTATTTATCTCAGAGCACAGTAGCATGTTCTATAAGTCACAAATGCTTACGGGTAGAAGAATGATTTTTAAAAATGTTTACCTTTCTATGTTGAGATCATTGTAGACTCACATGCAGTTGTCAGGAATAGCACCGAGATCTTATGTGATCTTTACCCAGTTCTCCCAATGGTAACATCTTAGATAACTGTAGTGTGAACCTCACCACCAGCATCCACACGGACACCTCCAGACCCAGAGCACCCCTCACACAGGGTCCCTCACACAGACA
The DNA here is from genome assembly GCF_000001405.40 of Homo sapiens. Classification (NCBI taxonomy): domain Eukaryota; kingdom Metazoa; phylum Chordata; class Mammalia; order Primates; family Hominidae; genus Homo; species Homo sapiens. The sequence continues at coordinate 79,358,921 of NC_000018.10, read as the reverse complement.
CCTCCAGACCCACAGCACCCCTCACACAGAGTCCCTCACACAGACACCTCCAGACCCAGGGCACCCCTCACACAGACACCTCCAGACCCAGAGCACCCCTCACACAGGGTCCCTCACACGGACACCTCCAGACCCAGGACACCCCTCACACAGACACCTCCAGACCCAGAGCATCCCTCACACAGGGTCCCTCACACGGACACCTCCAGACCCAGGGCACCCCTCACACAGACACCTCCAGACCCAGAGCACCCCTCACACAGGGTCCCTCACACGGACACCTCCAGACCCAGGGCACCCCTCACACAGACACCTCCAGACCCAGAGCATCCCTCACACAGGGTCCCTCACACAGACACCTCCAGACCCAGAGCATCCCTCACACAGGGTCCCTCACACGGACACCTCCAGACCCAGGACACCCCTCACACAGACATCTCCAGACCCAGAGCACCCCTCACACAGGGTCCCTCACACGGACACCTCCAGACCCAGAGCACCCCTCACACAGACACCTCCAGACCCAGGGCACCCCTCACACAGGGTCCCTCACACGGACACCTCCAGACCCAGGGCACCCCTCACACAGACACCTCCAGACCCAGGGCACCCCTCACACAGGGTCCCTCACACGGACACCTCCAGACCCAGGGCACCCCTCACACAGACACCTCCAGACCCAGAGCACCCCTCACACAGGGTCCCTCACACGGACACCTCCAGACCCAGGGCACCCCTCACACAGACACCTCCAGACCCAGAGCATCCCTCACATAGGGTCCCTCACACGGACACCTCCAGACCCAGGGCACCCCTCACACAGACACCTCCAGACCCAGGGCACCCCTCACACAGGGTCCCTCACACGGACACCTCCAGACCCAGGGCACCCCTCACACAGACACCTCCAGACCCAGAGCATCCCTCACACAGGGTCCCTCACACGGACACCTCCAGACCCAGAGCATCCCTCACACAGGGTCCCTCACACGGACACCTCCAGACCCAGGACACCCCTCACACAGACACCTCCAGACCCAGAGCACCCCTCACACAGGGTCCCTCACACGGACACCTCCAGACCCAGGGCACCCCTCACACAGACACCTCCAGACCCAGAGCACCCCTCACACAGGGTCCCTCACACAGACACCTCCAGACCCAGAGCATCCCTCACACAGGGTCCCTCACACGGACACCTCCAGACCCAGGACACCCCTCACACAGACACCTCCAGACCCAGAGCACCCCTCACACAGGGTCCCTCACACAGACACCTCCAGACCCAGGGCACCCCTCACACAGACACCTCCAGACCCAGAGCATCCCTCACACAGGGTCCCTCACACGGACACCTCCAGACCCAGGACACCCCTCACACAGACACCTCCAGACCCAGGGCACCCCTCACACAGGGTCCCTCACACGGACACCTCCAGACCCAGGGCACCCCTCACACAGACACCTCCAGACCCAGAGCATCCCTCACACAGGGTCCCTCACACAGACACCTCCAGACCCAGGACACCCCTCACACAGGGTCCCTCACACGGACACCTCCAGACCCAGGGCACCCCTCACACAGACACCTCCAGACCCAGAGCACCCCTCACACAGGGTCCCTCACACGGACACCTCCAGACCCAGGACACCCCTCACACAGACACCTCCAGACCCAGAGCACCCCTCACACAGGGTCCCTCACACGGACACCTCCAGACCCAGGGCACCCCTCACACAGACACCTCCAGACCCAGAGCACCCCTCACACAGGGTCCCTCACACAGACACCTCCAGACCCAGAGCATCCCTCACACAGGGTCCCTCACACGGACACCTCCAGACCCAGGACACCCCTCACACAGACACCTCCAGACCCAGAGCACCCCTCACACAGGGTCCCTCACACAGACACCTCCAGACCCAGGGCACCCCTCACACAGACACCTCCAGACCCAGAGCATCCCTCACACAGGGTCCCTCACACGGACACCTCCAGACCCAGGACACCCCTCACACAGACACCTCCAGACCCAGAGCATCCCTCACACAGGGTCCCTCACACGGACACCTCCAGACCCAGAGCATCCCTCACACAGACACCTCCAGACCCAGAGCACCCCTCACACAGGGTCCCTCCTGCGGCTGCTCTGCAGCTGCAACCACTTCCCTCTGCTGCCTCCTCCCTAATCCCTGGCCACCATGAATCCGTTCCCCATCTCTAATCTGGTCATTTCAAGAATGCTATGCAAATGGAATGCTATGCAAATGGAACTGTACAGCAGGTTAACTTCGGGGACTGGCGTCTTTTACACAGCGCAATTCTCTGGAGATTCATCTAGGTTGCTGCTGTGTCAGTAGCTTATTTCTTTCTATTGCTGACTACTATTTTGTGGCAGGCAAATGAACCACAGTGTGCTTAACCACTGAAGTTACATCTGGGTTGGTCCTAGTTTTTGATCACAAATAAAACTGCTGTAAATATTCACTGCACAGGTTTTTTGGTGAAGTTTCCATTTATTTTGGACAGGAGTGCCGAGTGAGATGGTATAAACGCCCAGGAGCGTGAGTGCTAGGTTTGGAAACGAGTGCCGAGTGAGAGGGTATAAACGCTCAGGAGCATGAGTGCTAGGACATCTTCCAGATGGTAGGATTTACACTCCTACAGCAATGTAAGAGCTATCCAGTTTCTGTGACTCTTCCTCACAATTCTGGCAGGCGTGAGGCGGAGCATCCTGTGGTCTAACCTGGTCTCTGTGGCTGACGATGCGCTCATCATTTCACCGGCTTGCTTGTGGTCTGTGCGTCCCCTCACACACAGGGTGGCCGTCTCTGCGCCTTCTGTCCTTTTCCTAACTGGACTGCCCCTTCATGGCTGAGCTTGGAGAATCTTTAAGCACTGCTGGACACGAGTCTTGCCAACACCCCCTTTCCTTTCCGGAAGCGGCCGTCACTGGCTGCAGTGTGCCGTGCCCATGAGGCCTTTCTCCGGCACTTGAGTCCCTCTGCCTGCAGGGTTTCCAGTCATCCCCAACGTACCCCGTCTCCTCACTGGCTGCTTTCAATGGGTTTGTCTCTGGTTTTCATCAGTTTGATTATGATTATCTTGGTGTGAATTTGACTGTCCTGTTCAGGGTTTGCTTACCTTCTTGAATCTATACATTTATGTCTTTTGCCAAATCTGGGAGGTTTTCACCTTTATTCCTTCAAGTAAGTTCCTAGCCCTGCCCTGTCTCTTCTCCCCTGGAACTCCCACGGCACAAACGGTACAGCGGCCGGGGCTCCCACGGCACAAACGGTAGAATTACCATCTTGCTGTCCCTGAGGCTCTGATCCATTTTTTTTCAGTCAGTTTTCTCTCTTGTTCAGATTGAGGACTTTCTGTTTTTCTGTCTTCCAGTTCACTGCGTCCTCCCTCTGTCCCTTCTATTTTGCTGCTGAGCCCAGTCACGGCATTTTTTTTTGTCTGGGTTATTTCTCATCTCTAAGATTTCCATTTGGTTCTGCTCTGTATCTTGTCTGCTGGGCTGTTCTATTTTGCCATTTGCTCCCAGTATGTTGGTAATGACTGTTTCCCAGTCTTTGTCAGAGAATTCTAGCATCTCTGCCATCTCAGGGCTGGCTTCTATTGACTGTCTTTTTTCCATTCACCTTGAAATCTTCCTGGTTCTTGGTATGGCAAGGGACTCTGATGGAAACCCCTGACATTCCGGGTAAAGACTGAATTTTCTGAAGGGTGCTGACCCTGCTCTGGTGGGGAAAGGAGGGCGCTGTTTTTGCTGCTGTGCAGGGGCAGGGGTTAAGGCTCCCCATGCGGCCTCTGCCGACACTGAGGGGCTCATTACCCCTTCACTGGGGATGCAGTCCTGCCTCCTCCCATTCCATCACCCTGCAGATGCCGGGTGCATCGCTGCATCTCGTGAAGTGGCACTTTCAGCTCTCCACTTGCCTTTTTGGGGAGGGGGAGGTGGGCACAGCCCTTCCCTGGCGTCTGGCTGGAGTAGAGTGACGATCATCTGAAAGCCATCTGTCTTCCTGGTGCCCCTTTCGTGGACCCACGGTTGGAGAGGCTGGGACCTCGCTGGGACTTTCAAATTTTAAATTTCTGCACCCATGGGCGTTTCCAGGCTGCCGGCTCCTTCAGCTCCAGCTGCTGGAAAACCCGGGGAGCTCCTGCCGCCTCGCCCCTTGCCCCCTCTGTTCACCTCGCTCTCCACTCAGAGCCTTCTGTTTCCAGCTGAACTTAGCAGAAGGAGCAGGGAGGAACCCATCTACCTCACCTCCCACCGTCCTGGAAGTGGAGCTGGGCCGGAAGTGGGGCTGGGTTTTTTTTTTTTTTTTTTTTTTTTTTTTGAGACACGGTCTCACTCTGTGGCCCAGGCTGGAGTACAATGGTGCAATCATGACTCACTGCAGCCTTGACCTCCTGGGCTCAGCTGATCCTCTCACCTCAGCCTCCTGAGTAGCTAGGACCGCGGGTGTGTACCACCATGCCCAGCTAATGTTCTCCTGTAGAGATAGGGTCTCACCATGTTTCCCAGGCTGGTCTCACACTCCTAGTCTCAAGAAATCTTCCCAACTCGGCCTCCCAAAGTGCTGGGATTACAGGCATGAGCCACTGCACTTGGCTGGGGTTTTTTTTGTTGTTGTTAAATGACATTGTCACCTATGAGAACACACTCTCATAGTTATCTCAAGTTGGGAAAGTTACCCCGTGGCAGAGAACCAGAAACACCCATGACACCACGTTATATTTTAGCCTTGAAACATGCGGATACCTAAAGGTTATATTCTGTTTTAATATGACTGAGATTCCACGGTCACTAAATGCAGACCGTTCTATTTTTAAAACTATTGTAGGTTCTATATGAAACATTTTCTTCTAAGGTACTTTTAGTCTATTTCACATCATTCTGTTTTCTTGATGAGTTACTGCTGGGCACTAAATATCTACATGCTTAGAGAACTCTATCCAGAAATTCAATCTTTAATTTCTTTATTACGTTAAACTTGTACAACACTGTTGTACTTCCCTCGAAATCTTTAATTACTTTTGTTAACTTTCTTTGAACAACCCCTCCCTATCTCTTCAACCTTTAACAACAAAAACCCCATTGCTGCCTCCTTTTCATAAACCTACTTTCTTGAGGTATAACTTTCAGCATGTGATGAATTTTGACAAGTGTCATGGAACCGCCGTGTGACCATGACACGGAGCATCTCCGTCACCCCCAAGGACGAGGCCTGTGATGCGCCAGGTGGGAGACCCCTGCCTCCCTCGCTGCCGTTGAGTCTCACATAAATGGCTGTTCCCCGCAGGCTAACACCTGGCTATTCTCTCTGGGTGGTCTCCGCTCTCTGCGAGTGGGTCTCTTCGGGCCAGCGGTGTCAGGACTCGCCCACCTTGCCGAGCGTGTCCTCTGCTTTCTCTGTGCTGCAGGCCAGCGTCTCACACTATGGACACAATGCAGCTCTTCCACCCCCTGGTGGATGGCCGTTGGTGTTTTCCCAGTCTGTGGAGATCACAGCTGAAGCGGTGAGAGTCCTGCTGCTGGTCTGCGTGGAAGCTCCCAGTCTGTGGAGATCACAGCTGAAGCGGTGAGAGTCCCTGTGTCGGTTTGCGTGGAAGCATGAGTGTTTTCCTTTTTCCTGGGTGAACACTGAGGAGGGAGGTTGCTGGGGCATGGGGCAGCAAATTTTTAATTTCATAAAAACTGCCAGCCTGCTTTCTGGAGTGGCTGGACCATCTGCACTCTCGCCAGCAGTGCCACCCTGCTGCCCGCCTGCCAAAACGCCACTTGGCCTTTCGGCCTGGCCTCCGTGGTAGCAGAGCCTTAACTCTCTCTGTGGCTTAAATTTATCTTTCCTGGTAACTAATGATGTTAAATACATTTTCTTGTGCTTACTGACCATTCTTATGTCTTCTTTTGTGATGAATGTTCAAATCTTTCATCTTAAAAACAAAACTGAGTTGTCTGTCTGATCGTTGAGTTGAAGATATGTACTGAAAGTATTTTACTCTTGTCTGCCTTTTTACTTGATTAGTACTATGTTTAGAAGAGCAAAAACTTAATTTTTATGAAGTCCATCATGTCAGTTTATTCTCCATGCATCACGATGTTCATGCTTAGGAAGTCTGTGCCAATCTGGGCACAGGTTGGGGGGCCCTAGAACCCACCAGAGCCTGGCCCTCCTCTGAGATTTGCACACACTGAAGTTTACTCTGACAAACTTCACAGCAGGTACAAGGACTCTTGAAACACAGAGGTTTCGAGGCCCTCTGGCTGTTGAAACACAGAGGTTTCGAGGCCATGTGGCTGTTGAAACAGAGGTTTTGAGGCCGTCTGGCTGTTCGTTCTAGATGTGGGAGAGTTGTTTCTCTTCTCTGAGGCATCCCTGTCCCCAGCTTCTTATCCAATGTCTGAAAACATTTGTTTCACGTGTTTTCTTGTGTTTTGCATTTAATTAGGCTTGGAAGATAAATCTGTTTATCACGGCTGGAAGCAGAAGTTCTCAAGACCCTCTCTGATAAACCCACAGAGCCTCCCGTTCCTGCAGGTCTGGACACGGCTCCCCGAGGGACCTGCCTGTGCTCCTCCTGCCCAGAGCTCTCTCTCGGAATGTCATGCACCTTCTTGGTGCTCAATTAAGGTTCAATCTGACTTTAACGAGAGCACTCACAGGCTATCCATCTGAGTCACTAGCAAGGGTAAAAGAAGACCCACACCCAGGAATGGCTGCTATGATGTGGCGCTGTGTGTGAGGTCCTCGCCGGCAGCTGCCAGAATCTCTGGGGAGACAGACACCTCTGGCCAGTTCAGACTAGCTTTTCCCAAAGCATTTTCGTGGAACATGAGTTGTGGGCTCATGAGATCAGAAGTCTCTCTCAGAGCCTCCAACTTGCCAAAGTGCACAATGCTGCACCCTACAGAGGTTCCCCATGAGGACTTGGCCTAGGAGCTCTCTTTCTCGGGGAGGGCATGGCATTCCCCAGGCCTGCTTGGGGGGCAAGGGCAGAGTGGGCTTGGGGGTCACAGGAACCTCCCCAGGCTGTCCTGTCTCTCCCAGCCCCTCCTGCTGCCCCATCCCCCATCCCCCTAGGCTTCCCCATCACCACCTTTGCGGCCCCCATGGTCCCTGGTCCCTCCCTGGGTTTCCCTGCTGTGCACTGAGTATGCCTAGTCCTTCCTGCTCTTGGGGCCTCTTGCTTCAGGAAAGTCACCTGGGCCAACAGTTCCCTCCAGAGCTGATGAAATGAATGCAGATGAAAACCATATTTGTGGAATTAAATTCTATCAACTGTCCTCTAGGTTCTAGAGCCAGTTTATCATAGACATGATTTTGTTCTAGTTAGATGTTATTTTGTAAAAACATCATGTTGATTTTTGTTCAATTCTTGGTATTTATTTCCTAGGTGAAGGCAAACTCATTATTTATTTTCAAAGAAGCTTAACTAAAGGCATCGCCCCTCCAAAGCTCCCACCTAACCCAATTCAGAGTATGAGTGCTTAAGAAAGTCACAGACGTTTCTTTTGTGACGGACACTCAGAGTTACTTTACATGAAGCCCATTATAAAGAAGAGCTGTAGGAACAGGAGCTGGGGACGCTGCAGAGCACTCGGGCTGTGAGGCAGGCACAGGCCTCACTAACCCAAGCAGTAGTTCTTTAAAGAATAATCTCCATGGTCCCCCACATTTTCCTTTTCATGTTTCAAATCCATGATTTTTAAAATATGAAAGAAGGTGAGAAGGGTTATGCTTTTCTATGACTTCCAAGGAAGAAACACACTGTTCAAACTCAAGATGCAATCAGTATTACTGTGCAAATTCTGTACTATTTAAAAGTAACTAGGCTGGACGAAGGGGCTCATGCCTGTAATCCCAACACTTTGGGAGGCTGAGGCAGGTGGATCATTTGAGGTCAGGAGTTCGAGACCACCCTGGTCAACATGGCAAAACCCCGTCTCTACTAAAAATATACAAAAATTAGCTGGGCGTGGTAGCACATGCCTGCAATCCCAGCTACTTGGGAGGCTGAGGGAGGAGAATCACTTGAACCTAGGAGGCAGAGGTTGCAGCGAGCTGAGATCACACCACTGCACTCCAGCCTGGGCGACACAGCAAGACTCTGTCTCAAAAAAAAAAAAAAAGCAACTAATGTAATAATTACTGTAAATATGTAGGCAATGGGAAAACTTATTTAAAAAGCGTTAGCACTTATTGTACCTTTAGGATTTTTCACCTTTGTTTGAAGTACTATAGGAAACACTACTGGAATTCACGGAAAGCTGAGAATATTAGCACAAATCCTACCACCATTTCCATCAACTGTATGGGCTATGAGTTGGTAGGTTGCTGGGACATTCTTTGGTCACGTAGAGTCATGAAATAAGGTTCAAGTTGACACCATGGACGCACAGTGCTGTCCTGTGCTACCTCATACTGGGGCTGAGGGAGCCTCAGCGGCCAGGAGAGCCCAGGGCCGATGACGGCGCTTTCCTTGTGGGCCACAAAAAGAGAGTCTGCAATGCTTACGATCATGGGGGTTATTCCCTGAGTGATTACAGCAGGCAGGGGCCTAAAACAGAGGCACTTGTGCGAAGATGAAGGGCTAGGGGTGAGAGAAGCCTGAAGACACCTGCGAAGGTTTCCCTAGGCTCTTACCTACTTTATTCAAAGTGATTTTTAAGACCACAGGACAGGCTGCTGCTATCTTGGGAGGAACGGTGCTAACATGTGCAGGCGAAGGACGTGGAGTCCGAAGCAGGTGCCCCAGGAGTCTTGGTAGCTGTGAGCCCCACAGCTCAGCTGTCCTGAGGCTTGGGGTGGGGGGCCTAGAATCCGCCAGAGTCTGGCCCTCCTCTGAAATTCGCATGCACTGAAGTTCACGCTGACAAACTCACAGCAGGTACGAGGACCCGATATACCTTGTGCCTTGTCCTTGTAGAGCACGCAGGAGAATAGGACGCTAACTGGTAATACAACTGCGCAGCCTGGGGGTGTGAAGGTGCATGGTGGGGGGGGGGGTGCGGGGCCTCCCAGGGAAGCAAGGACAATGGGGACATCTGGCAGTGGTCTAGGCCAAGGGGACATCATGTGTGGAGGCCAGAGGACAGAGAGGACCTGAAGACTGGAGACGGAAGGAAGGCAGAGACCCAAGTGCCAGCTCTGTGCATGCTCCTTGGACAGCTCAGGATGACGGGGGCGCCTCTCAGTGATTCTAACTCAGGAAAAAGGTGACTTAAGAGGACCTCACATGTTTAACAAAAACCTAACACACGCACAGACTGATATTTCCCTGTATTTTGCTAAAATTGTGAGGAACTCCTGGGATTCAGGGAGCTGTCGAGTGAAACGGTGTTTAGACTGCGGACTAGAAACAGCTATGCAGGGAGAAAGGACTCTGTTTCTCTGTGGACCTGGGGTAAGCTCAGTGGCTGCGTGACGGTGAGGAGCAGCACCCGGCGCCAGCCCCTGACAACTCAGGTCTGAGCTGGGCCTCCCACGGGTGAGTTCCTGAGCTCTCTGGGTCTCTCACTTTTCTCACACATGAAGTGGGGACAAGGTGAGGATGAAAGCACGTTCAACGCCAAGAGCATCGAAGCCAGTGGCTGTTACTATTCAAGTATTTTCTGAGACTCTTTGTGGAGTGGAACCTGGTTAAGGTGGGCATGAGCTTTGCAGAGGTCAGGGAGGTCAGTGGCAGATGAGAGGCTGCTTTTAGTTTGCTGCCAACACCAACAGTCACACTGATTTCATTTCTAGTCATAACCACAGAGGAGGAGGAAAAGAGAAATTCCCACCTATTCCCTCTTCACAGGAAGCTCCTGTTTTGCAGATACAGCAGCAAAATCAGCTCAGCTTTCAATGCACGTCGCATGCCTGCTGTGCTTTTGGTGTCCTTTTCTAAGACACTGCTGCTGTTATCTTTGTTTTTTGAGATGGAGTCTGACTTTGTTGCCCAAGCTGGAGTGCAATGGCACGATCTTAGCTCACTGAAACCTCCCCGTCCCGGGTTCAAGTGATTCTCGTGCCTCAGTCTCCTGAGTAGCTGGGATTACAGGCACACACCACCACGCCTGGCTAATTTTTTTGTATTTTTAGTAGAGACAGGGTTTCGCCATGTTAGCCAGGCTGGTCTCGAACTCCTGACCTCAGGTGATCCACCCACGCCCACTTCAGCCTCCCAAAGTGCTGGGATTACAGGCGTGAGCCACCGCGCCCAGCCCTGGTGCTGCTATCTTTGAAAATGAGATTCCATTCCTGCCCAGGAGAGACCAACAGTGTTTGCTTCGAAGCATGCCACACCATGTCCCTGCACTTCCTGTTCTCTCTTTGCTGCTGGCCACGCCGCACAACAGGATGAAGCCCCAGCCAGGGGAGGGCAGCCTGCAGAGAGCCGGGAGGGCCTGTCAGTGGCCACTCTGCCCCTCCGCCTTCTGCCACGGGACCCTTTAAAAATCTCAGATCCAACACAGTTCCTGACACAAACTATGGCTTCCACTTGAAAACAAAATCTAATAAGAAAATCCCAGGAGGAACAAGTGTGCAGGTGCTGTCTTGAAGTTCACCCAAGTAAAATGTTGTTTTTACATCAGTATTATTCATTCTAAATGATGACTGTATCAAGAATCTTCTATATACGTTTTTTGTTTTTTTTTTTTTTTTTTTTTCAAAATAGAAGTCCTCCCCTGGATGAGCTGGCAGGTTCTGAGTGTAACTTACCCCACCATGAGGAAGCCCTGATACAAAGGGACGGATGCGAAGTAGAAGACTGAGGAAAACACAGCCTGGAGAGAGAGCCCACAGACGAAGACAACTGTCAGTTCCACGAGCACCTGTGGCCCCAAGCCTCTCAGGGGCCTCGCTAACTCCTAAGCACAGCCCAGGTACTTCCGGCAGCACTCAGCACCCCCACTCCCGGACCCTGCCCTTCCCGGACCCTGCCCTTCCTGGACCCTGCCCTCCATGGGTGCCAGCACAGAAGGCTTAGTACCTGCATGGTGGAGATGATAAGGCCCCTGTGCATGACGAACTGGCCGAGTGCCGCCGACCTCTTGTAGCTGTTCCGCCCGTGCACCATGAGCAGCCTGCCTATGTGCCGGAACTGCGTGATGGAGAAGTCGGCCGCCAGCGAGGCCTGTTTACCCTCCTGAGAGAAAAGCACACGGGGCCTTTTCAAACATGGCGGACGCTGGAAATCAGACTCCAAAAGTGAGTTTTAGAACTCAGCCTAAATGTTACAAAGACCGAAATTCTCTCTGCAGAACTTGTAAAGCTTCAGCTCCGTCGATGGGGACAGGTCCTATGGTCTCAGACACAGGGGCAGGAAGAGCCCCCAGCACCAGCCCAGGCTCTCACAAGTGCTTCAGGAGAGCTCGGCTCTGACAGACCATAGGTGTCACAGGAGTCAGCAGAGCTGCAGAGTCCGGGCCAGCCCTGTTGAAGGACTCCCTTGTGATCTGAGTGTGGGCCCGCCCTGTCGGAAGACACCCCTATGATCTGACATGGGCCAGCCCTGTGGGAGGACACCCCTATAATCTTGGGCTGCTTCAAGACAATTCTGTTTTTTCATATTTGAAGAAACAATCTATCCCCTCTTTCACAACGCTGTTGTAAGGCATTACAAAATGAAGTAGCCAAGGAAAAAGCCACGCTTGCTTGAGCTAGGTGAATTTTCCAGGTCTTTCTGGGTGTGTCTGTATTAATATTTAAGTGACTGTGGAGAAGGAGAGAGTAACACAGATAAAGCTGGCACGGAAGATGAACCTCAAACCACAGCTCAGTTGGCCAGGAGACACAGGCAACCACACAGAGAATGGTGCGTGGAAAACAGGAGGGAGGCCATGGAAAGGCTCGCCGAGGGATCTGCTAACATCTGAGCTGAGCCCTAGGGCAGGTGACTAAGAGTGACACCTCCCTGTACGCCAGTCCGCCAACAGCAAGTCGCCGAGGGCTAGGCTGTAATGCACGTGGCAGGATTGACATTATGAAATGTGAGGTCAAAGCGGGGGACTCCGACCAATTCCTCCTTTATTCAAATGTACAGTTCAGTGCCCGGGACACACCAGGCTCTTCAGGCTGTGCTGACTGTGTGCTGACCACACGTGTTGACCAAGTGCGCATTCACCGAGCATGTGCTGACTGTGCCGACCAAGCATGCGGTGAGTATGTGCTGAGTGTAAAATGACCAGGCATGCACTGAGCACGTGCTGACGTGCGCTGACCGAGTGTGTGCCGAGTGTGTGCTGACTGTGCACTGAACACATGCTGAGGTGCGCTGAGTGTGTGCCAAGCATGTAGTGTGCTAAATGTGTGCCGAATGTGTGCTGACTGTGCGCTGAGCACGTGCTGACGTGCGCTGACCGAGTGTGTGCCGAGTGTGTGCTGACTGTGCACTGAACACATGCTGAGGTGCGCTGAGTGTGTGCCAAGCATGTAGTGTGCTAAATGTGTGCCGAATGTGTGCTGACTGTGCGCTGAGCACGTGCTGACGTGCGCTGACCAAGTGTGTGCCAAGCATAGTAGTGCTAAACAAGTGTACCAAGTGTGCTGAGCATGTGCTGACGTGCACTGACCGTGTGCTGAGCATGTGTAGTGTGCTAAACGAGTGTGCCAAGTGTGTGCTGAGCATGTGCTGATGTGCACTAAGCACGTATGTGCCGTGTGTGCTGACTGTGCGCTGAGCACATGCTGACGTGCGCTGACCGAGTGTGTGCTGTGTGCTGACTGTGCGCTGAGCACGTGCTGATGTGCGCTGACCGTGTGCTGAGTGTGTGCTGACTGTGCGCTGGGCACAAGCTGACGTGTGATGACCGTGTGCCGAGTGTGTGCTGTGCGCTGAGCATGTGCTGACGTGCGCCGACCGAGCGTGTACCGAGTGTGTGCTGACTGTGCGCTGAGCACGTGCTGATGTGTGTTGACCAAGCATGTGCTGAGTGTTTGCTGACCGAGCGTACGCTAAGCACATGCTGACGTGCACTGACCAAGTAGGTGCTGAGTGTACAGTGGCCCAGCATGTGCTGAGTCGTGTTGATGTGTGCTGACTGTGTGCTAATGTGTTGATAAAAGGGCGAACCTACCTTTCCCTCAATCCCAATCCCACAGTCTGCTGCCTGAATCATGCTGACATCATTTCCTCCATCACCTGCGAAGCAAGAAAAGTGAGATGAAATAAAACCTTATCCATCATCACGTTTTTCATTTTTACCATCAGAAGCTATTTCAGAAACTTCCATGAATGGAGATGAAATCAATCTAGTTTTAGAGATGGAACAAACTTTGCCCATCAATGTCAGCCTACGGGTTTCTCTGGAGACCTCCCTGTGAGCAGGGTGGGCGGCTCTCACCGATGGCGCAGGTGCGTCTCCCTGTGTGCTGCTGCAGCAGTGTCACAATGCGGGCCTTCTGGGTGGGTGAGCAGCGGCAGCAAACCACGGCAGGGCACTGGCAGGCCAGCTCCACAAATTCATGCTCGTAGTACTTTAGACAAACCTGGAAAACAAAGCCTGTGTTATTTTGCCTTATGGTCGACAACAGTGTCCCAGATTTGTGTAATGTAGAAAGTGCAAAACCATGGGAGCAAAGCCAACAGACGCCACAGTTCTCAATCTTTTCAGTTTTCTGTGAATCATTTCACAGGACTCACGGACAGGGGAAAATAAAAAATCATGGGAAGAAATTCTATGTAACATGGAACCATCCTTCTCCTGCCTAGGGAAGTTCTTCCACTTGAAGTACCAGAGAGAATCCTCCATGATTTGAGCTACGACATGACCTTCTGGTCTGATCCCCCTCCCCTGGAATCCAAGCTGCCTTAGTGACTTTCTTGAAAAACATCATGTGACCCGGTGACGTTCTGGGGCAGCTTCTGCCAGATTTCTTGGAGTGCTTGCTCTGAGGACACTAGCAACAACAGAGGTCCAGGACGATTAAGCCCAGGAGCCTGTGCAAAAGCTGTGCAGGGGGAGGCTCCCACCAGCCCCGGTGCCACAGTTCCCTCAGCCGGGGGCCACCGTGCGAAGAAAACGAGGCATGAAGCTACTTTGGACATTCCTGCTCCAGCGGATGCAACATGGAGAGGACAGAGAGCCAGAACCAAGGCGCTGGACAGGCTCTTGTCGCTCCTCCTCCAGGTCTCCTGCAGCACTTGCAGGCTCTCAATGTCTAACAGAGGAGTAACAATCACTGCGACCCAGCCCAGCTTTCAGGCTCTCAATGTGTCAAGGAGGAGTAACAATCGCTGTGATCCAGCTCTGACATCTCCTCAGGCTGGGGCTGCTTTCCAGAGCGGCAGATACCGCTGCTACGAAATGGAAAACTGCCTAAAAACAGCATGAATGGGCAAAAGCACTTGACTCAAGAAGGCCTTGATGCACTGGAATGGACAGACAGACACACACTGGGCCAGGGTCCAGCCTTGCCTCAGAGACACAGACAGACAGACAGACAGACATGTACTCACTCAGGGTCCAGCCTTGCCTGAGAGACAAACAGACACTCAGCCAGGGACCAGCCTTGCCTCAGAGACACAGACAGACATGTACTCACTCAGGGTCCAGCCTTACCTCCAGAGAGTCCCCAGATATGACTAGTGCACAATCATGCTTCCTTCGAAATGCATTCAGCTCCAAATGTGCCTCTCCCCGACTGGTTACCTCCATTAAGGGAGAAAAAGAATCCCAAATTAAAATGTTGTCTAAGTTACAGGCACAGAGAAACAGGGCATTATTTGCAGAGTCACAGTGGAATGTTCTGGGGTTATTATCTAAAACCAAAGGAGCTTTAGTATTTGGACCCGGAAGAAGGTCCTTTCCAATTCCTCCAGCAGTGCTGGGTGTGTCTATCCACTCAGTTAACGCCAATCATTTTCAAATTTGTGGCAACTGCAAGCAGGAAACGTATAGTGAGGAATGCAGTGGAATCACCACTCTGATGAAATTTGTGTAAAGGGTGCCTATGAGTTAATAATTACCTTCTGGATAGTTTGGGAGGGTAATTGCCTTTTATACATACACTCCCTTAACATACAACGATAATGATTAAGAATTTTCTTGTAATTCCCACGAGGTGATTATTTAACAGAGCAACAGGCCAGGGTAGGCTGGCGTGGGGAGCAGCGCTGCTGAGAGTCACTGACTCGCAGCGTTACGGACACGGCTCTGCAGAACGAGGCTTGCACCCAACAGAGCACCAGAGCCCAGGGAGGCCGAGCTCCTCATCGCCACACATCATCGCCACACATCGGGTAAGAGACAGGACGCTCTCAAATCAAGGTGTTATGTAAATACATCTCTTTTCATAATAGGTCAAATAATGCAAAATACTTAATTGCTTGTGTTGTCTCTGCCATGGGTTTCAACTTACTCCATTAGTTTAGTTTTTACCCAGTGTCTGAGGGATTTTTAAAAAAACCTAAAAGAGTAAAAGTAAGTCATAATCTTGAAATATCATTTGTTTTAGAACAAAAATATTTCAGAAACCAATGTAAGTGGTTTTTCATATTCCTTCTGTGGAGATTTTATGGAGCATAAAAGAAATGATATATTAATAGTCCTATTAATAGGACTGAAATAAATTAAAAGCTTCATGTGGTTCAAATTAACAATCTCAGACTCATCTTTAAATAGGTAGGTTTTATTGTGAAAAATTTAATTTGTGGTGCTATAACACTGAAAAGTCAACAAAAATTGATCTGAAGTTTTATCAGAAGCATTAATAATTTAATTGCAAATAGTAGTCTTCAGGGCCTAATTTGTGATTCTGATGCTTCAAAACAAACTACATTTACATATAAATTATATTCAAATAACTCCTTCTGTAGGTGCAAGCGATTCATTTAGAACAGACGCAGACACAGAATGTCTGTTCACTCACCATAAATCAAGACCAAGAAATTCTTATTTTTTGTTTGAATTAAATTTAGTCATAACTAATACATACAGTAAACACATAAACTTAGATCATTTCTATTAATTTTCTTTGAACTAGTTAAGGCAGCACTTGCTCTGAAAATGGCAGTGATTAAAAACACATTTCTATTTTGTATTTATAGCTTGTTTCACAACAGCAGCTTCTGGACAACATGTAACACGTATAACTTGTAGAAAAATGTAATTTTTTTAATCAATATACATTTTTACAAATTGAAAATAATTGCAGTATGCCTCTTTTAAAATAGCAAATAATACTAATAGTATAAGCAAAAAATACTTCTGAACTTAGAGCTTGTTCATTCCGTCAAAAAGCAGCTTTGATCATGATTAATGTATGTGGCTAAAAATATCTATTTTAACATGCTTTTTAATTAATTAATTATTTATTTATTTTTTATTATTATACTTAAAGTTTTAGGGTACATGTGCACATTGTGCAGGTTAGTTACATACGTATACATGTGCCATGCTGGTGTGCTGTTATAAATTAAAAAAATTACAGTAGTTCTTTTTAAAAAGATATTTAGTGATTAATAAATATATATTCTGACAAAAACAATAGGCTTCGTTTGTGTGAGACAAATGTTTAAAAATTCAAAGTGATTAAGATACATACTTACCTGTCTGAAAATATGAATATCTTGTGTTCTAGACACGAGATGTGAACTTTTGGCAATGCAGGTAGCTGTCTCGAGTTTATCGCCTGTTAGCATCCATATCTAGGGAACAATTTAAACTGGTGAATTTCAACAAGACAAGGACACGTTCATTTCTGATGTCTCACATAATTCACAACAGCCAAAAGGTGGAAGCAACCCAGGTGCCCGTCAATAGATAAATGAATGAGCAAAATGTGTTCCATACATACAATGGAGTATTATTCAGCCTTAAAAAGGATGGAAATTCTGATACAGGCTGCATTGTGGTTCAACCTTGAGGACATTACGCTGAGTGAAAGAAGCCAGTCACAAAAGGACAAATACTGTATGATCCCATTTCCATGAGGTCCCTAGAGCCATCCAATCCACAGAGAAAGAACTAGATGGTGGGTGCCAGGGTTTAGGGGAAGGGGAATGGGGAGATGGACAGTTTCCGTTTAGGAGGATGGAACAGTTCTGGAAGGGGTGGTGGTGATGGCTGCACAAGAATCGGCAACGCAAACTTCAACAAGGTCACGCTACACACATCCAACCACAACTAAATGGTGTGTCGGCAACGCAGGCTTCAACAGGTCACGCTACACACATCCAACCACAACTAAATGGTGTGTCGGCAACGCAGGCTTCAACAAGGTCACGCTACACACATCCAACCACAACTAAATGGTGTGTTGGCAACGCAGGCTTCAACAGGTCACGCTACACACATCCAACCACAACTAAATGGTGTGTCGGCAACACAGGCTTCAACGAGGTCACGCTACACACATACAACCACAACTAAATGGTGTGTCGGCAACACAGGCTTCAACGAGGTCACGCTACACACATCCAACCACAACTAAATGGTGTGTCGGCAACACAGGCTTCAACGAGGTCACGCTACACACATCCAACCACAACTAAATGGTGTGTCGGCAACACAGGCTTCAACGAGGTCACGCTACACACATCCAACCACAACTAAATGGTGTGTCGGCAACACAGACTTCGACGAGGTCACGCTACACACATCCAACCACAACTAAATGGTGTGTCGGCAACACAGACTTCGACGAGGTCACGCTACACACATCCAACCACAACTAAATGGTGTGTCGGCAATGCAGACTTCGACAAGGTCACGCTACACACATCCAACCACAATTAAATGGTGTGTCGGCAACACAGACTTCAACGAGGTCACGCTACACACATCCAACCACAATTAAACAGTATGTGAACTTGCTAAGGTGGAACAAGCGAGAGCACAGTGATGTGTAGATACAGCAGCTGAGATATGGAGGCATGTGAGTAACACCTGGGCCCGGCACTCAGAGGCTAAGTCTAATAAGGATAGCTGTGAGTGTCAAAGGTGCCTACCACAAAGGATTCCACACAAAGCAAGCACACAGGACTGCCAAGGCGGCACACAGTCAGGGTTTGCCAGGCTGGGAGGCTCATGAAGACCTTCACTGCAGTTTGCTAGTTTTTTAGTTGGAAACGGAGGTTCAATGGGTAAATGGCCCATAGTCAAACCAAAAGTTGTTTATGTCAAATAAAACATGTCAAATAGTAGCACTTTTACATTTAAAAATTGCATACCCATGCACATCTTATGTGTATATATATTCCTAGACGATAGAGTAAAATATCAGGATATTTAATACATGACAGGATATTTGATATATATAACAGCAAAGAACTTCCAGTAATATTCTCATTAGCTGAATTTCTCAGATTTCTTATGTATCATATTGAAATATGCATTTTTGGAAACAGGAAGCAGAAAAAAAACTTCTACAGTGTACTGATTATCTGCTTAAGCACGCTCCACCTGTGGCTCTTCTCAGTGTCTAAGATTTGTGCTTTTTATTTATTTTACAGACTTATATTCATTTACGGGACCTAAGAGTATGACACATCATCATGACAAAGTTGAAGAAGAACTAGCACTGCGGCAACCTGAGTGGGATTCAGGAAACGCAGTGAGGTCCCGCTGAAAATCACCTTCGAGTTTCAGAGGAACATCTGAAGTCAGACTTTACATAATGTAAAGAATAAAGAGCAAAACTCGAGAAAGTCATATAACTTAGCAAATAATTGATGTAAAGATCCAAATTTTAATGCAAGGGATATTCACTACTTTAATATACTAATAATCTAGCACATATAAAGTAGGAAGTAGACTGAGGTGAAGTTCACTAAAAAGTTACAGTGAAATGCAGGGGTCATATGCTCGCTCATTCATGTGTCGATTTACAGATGGGTCTTGCCATGAACTCTGGGGCTCGATTGAGCCTCCCGCCTCAGCCTCCTGAGTAGCTGGGATCCCAGGCACAAAGCACCACACCCAGCTCATCTGCTTCTCATTAATCACACTTCGTTATTCAACTTTTTGGCTGTACAATACAATTAAGTTTAGTAATCTAAACTTTCTGAGTCAGAATTGTTCTCTTGTAATTTTGAATTTCTACATGAACAATTACTCTGAAACCAGATACAGCCTCATGACGCACTTCCTACTGCGATCATGACATACTTTCTACTGCAATCATGCACTTCCTACTGCGATCTCAGATGGATATGATACAGCCTCATGACACACTTCCTACTGCGATCATGACACACTTCCTACTGCAATCATGATACACTTCCTACTGCGATCATGACACACTTCCTACTACGATCTCAGTCAGATATGATACAGCCTCCTGACACACTTCCTATTGCGATCATGACACACCTCCTACTGCAATCATGATATACTTCCTACTGCGATCATGACACTTCCTACTGCGATCTCAGATATGATACAGCCTCCTGACACACTTCCTACTACGATCATGACACTTCCTACTGTGATCATGACACACTTCCTACTGTGATCATGACATACTTCCTACTGCGATGACATACTTCCTACTGCGATGACATACTTCCTACTGCAATCATGCACACTTCCTACTGCGATCTCAGACAGATATGATAGTCTCATGACACACTTCCTACTGCGATCATGACACACTTCCTACTGTGATCATGACATACTTCCTACTACGATCATGACACACTTCCTACTGTGATCATGACATACTTCCTACTATGATCATGACACACTTCCTACTGTGATCTCAGATGGATATGATACAGCCTCATGACGTATTTCCTACTGCGACCATGACACACTTCCTACTTCAGTCATGACACATTTCCTAATTCGATCATGGCACACTTCCTACTGCGATCATGACACACTTCCTACTGCGAACATGACATACTTCCTACTGCGATCTCAGAAGGACATTAAATCTTACAAGTCTCTTCACCATGCAGACCTCTAGACAGCAAGGAAAACAGATGCCTATTTTCTGTCCATGGCACAGCATCTTCATCAAGGCTTGTGGGATGTATTTTTTAACTGAAGTTGGCACAGCTTTGACTTCTGACACTGTCCTTCAGTTCTGTCCCTCTAGTCTAGCTATGCAGCTTTTCTCTGAAAACCAAGTTACACTTTTTCCCATTCTGAGTCCCAGGTCCTTGAGGCAGTGCTGAAATAAATTATCTTAACCAATTTGCAGTTGACCTTTCGGCTTCAATGAGAACATGTGAGGAAAGCTCCTGAAAAATAAAACTTACACCATAAGTGCCAATTTCCCCTGTGCAGGAAGAGGACACATCAGTAAGTGAAAAAGCCAGAGAGCAGGTCGGTGGGCAGGGAGCGTGTGCCCCGCCACACAGCATCTGGGGGAAGCCACCAAGAAGGATGGTCAGGATGCCTAACCTCTCCCATCCAAGATAAACACTCGAATTTCACGGACACCATATTTAAACTGCCAAGGACCACACAGCTGGATGAGACGGGGCACTGCCTTGGGGAGTTCAGGGAAGGTGGGCACTGCCTGCTGGGAGATGGGATACTGCTGCTGGGAGCATGGTGGGGATGGGGGCATAAGCCACACAGCCAAGGTAGAGGGGGTGTCCTCCAGCTACGGAGAAGGTGCTGGGAGAGAACAAAGAGCCAGAGGGAGGACAAGCAGCTTTGCACCTGCCCTGTACGTCCAGGCGTCTCTGGGGCAGGCTCTTGCTGCTGAGCCCAGGGGCCAGGCACAAGTGAGAAGCAGCTTCCACTGGGTGTCCTTTTGTGCTGAGTTTGTGACAATGTGGATGCATTATTTCTTCAAAAACATCAATAAAATGAACAGATGTAGTGCACGTCTGAGTATTCTATATTCTCAACTCTAACATGCCCTGAAGCATGAGATGATTCCAAATGTGGCACAATTTAACCGAGAATGAAGCCGAAGCCCATGAGGTCTGGGTTCTCATGCACTCCCGTCCTCATGGAACACGTGCCGTCACAATGGACGTACCCTGTGCTCACAGGGGAGGCACAGAGACCCCTGCAGGAGGAGGCCAGGTTACACAGAGAACACAGTGGCCCAGCCTTGCCAGGTGCAGGGTTGTGACAGGCTGGGGGCAAGGGCACGAGTGCCGGCCAACCCAGGAATGGCTGCAGACATCTGGCCGGCGGTGGCCAGGGTGACGGGCACTGGCTCCATGCGTCCTGTGGGGGGTGCATAACCATCCCTGGGAAATGGCATGTGGCAGTTTGACATCGCCAGGGCTGGGACCAGGACTCCTCTTTAGAAAGGCTGGGGTATCCAGAGAGGGAAGAGGTGTAGAGAGGAAGGTCTGGAGTAGGGGTGGCGTGGGGATTTGTGTGTGCACCAGCTGCAGATGTCCCTAAGGAAGGAGGGGAGCTGGTGGGCAGCTCTGCTTACAGAGCTCTCTCACATCCATGACCCCACAGGAGTTTCACAAATCACCATGCCCAAGGAAAAGCACTGTTTGCTTCAGCAAAAGCAGCGCGCGCCAGCAGAGGTGAGCCTGCAGTACCTTGATCCCGGCGTTGCGCAGCATCTCCAGCGTGGGCCGCACGTCTGCCTGCAGCTGGTCCTCCACGCCGGTGAGGCACAGCAGTTCCATCTCCCTCTCCAGGCTCTCGACTACCGCGGCCACCTTGAGGGACCTGTCGTGCATGCTCAGCTTGGCTTGAGTGTATCGGCTCTGGGGACAGAGGGGGAGGCGCCTGTGTGCACACGTGTACGTGCTGTGTGTGGACTCCACAGAGCTGGACTGCATGGGCTGTGGGGACAGAGGGGGAGGTGACTATGTGCACACGTGTACGTGCTGTGTGTGTACTCCACAGAGCTGGACTGCATGGGCTGTGGGGACAGAGTGGGAGGCGCCTGTGTGCACACGTGTACGTGCTCCGTGTGTGTACTCCACAGAGCTGGACAGCATGGGCTCTGGGGACAGAGGGGGAGGCGCCTATGTGCACATACTCTATGTGTACTCAGCTCGGCTGGACTGTGATCATTGAGGAGTTATCAAGCACAATTCTAAGGAAACTGGCACTTCTTTGCTTCTGTAACCCTCCTTCCCCAGCAAGCTGGAGAAATGGTGGAAACAGAAATGCAGACAGGATCACCCCATGCTCCTGCTGAGCGAAGCTGCCTTCACTCCTAGACTATAGCGATCCCAGCTCTAATTTCATACAAAGACAGGAAGAACTAATTTCAGCGTAAGGAAGGAAACGTCGTAGGAGGATGGGATGGCTGGGAGTCGGCTCACCTCAAAGTCCTGGTACTGCTCCTCTGTCAACGCCTTCTTTGCAACCACGAGGGTCCGCAGTCCTTCGCGAGCCATGTTTCCGCACTGGAAAAGGAGAGGCCGAGTCACAGGTGGGCCCTGCAGAGCCCCTGTGGCCGTGTGTGGGGCCAGGGCAGTGCCACACTCTGATTGCTGGTGCCCTGCCCTCATGTCCTGTGCCCACCTTCATCACCAAGGCCAGAGACAACTCAGCAGAGGGACACCTTTACATACAATGCATCCTTTTAACCTCCCGACCTGTCTGGTATCTCAAATCCTACTGACCCCTTCACTCGAGAGGCAAAGACACTGGATGGAGTTGGGGCACACTCCACCTGGACTCTCCTGGTGCCTAGCAGAGCTTCTTTTTACCACAGCACGGGCTTTTCAAAAAATCATACCCTGAATCCTTAAACACCACCACTCCAGAGTGTGGACGGCAGCCTGCATGTAGCAAGAACACACGGAGGGTGCACATGGCGGTGCTGGGGACAGGCGAGGGGAGCGCCTGGTGCCAGGGAGGGCACAGAGGGTGCACACGGCGGTGCTGGGGACGGGCGAGGGGAGCGCCTGGTGCCAGGGAGGGCATGGTGGGTGCACACGGCGGTGCTGGGGACGGGCGAGGGGAGCACCTGGTGCCAGGGAGGGCATGGAGGGTGCACACGGCGGTGCTGGGGACGGGCGAGGGGAGCGCCTGGTGCCAGGGAGGGCTCCTGGTGTACACTGGGGGAGAGGGGGACCCCCCTGGCGTGTTGTAATACCATGGATTTAGAACCAGGTGGCTGGGCCGGAAACCTGTTTCTGCCACAGACTTTGTGTTTTTGGGCAAACGACCTCATTTTTCTGTACTTGTTTCCTCCTTCATAGAAATGGGCTCATAAGAGTGTTGCTCTGGGACTAACTCCGTGAATCTGCGTAAGTTCTTCTTGCTCTATTTTTAACGTGCATGTAACTGGCCTTGCAGGGCAGCCAATCATGAGCAGTAAGCGCAGTTAGTGATGGAGGGGAGGGCAGGAGTGCAGGGCCGCGGTGAGAGCTGGGGTTGGTGGGGACACGGCCAGATCCCAAAGCTCACAAGCCTCACCCTGCATTCGCCTTCCAGAGTTGGGGGAGCCCTGCAGGAGTCACGGGGCCTGATGTGCGTGTTAAAGCAAGACATGGAAATGCCTGCAATGAGCTCATGAAACGGTGCTAACCGTGTTCAGTCAGGGAAGGTGTCAAAATAAAAAACACTACTTTCCCATTAGAGGTAAAAGTGCAACAGTTTTAGCTGGTGATGGGTGAAGAAACAGGCTCTCTGGGACAAGGCTGAGGGGTGGTGCAGGAGCAAACCTGTGTGGAGGTAACACTCTCAAAGTTAAACTGCTCATACCAGTGACACACATCCCAGTCCTGGAAGTTCAAACTGCACTTACAAAAGTAGACCCTGATGTCCACACGAGGTTGACGCTGCCATATTGCTTACATGAACGAGGGTCAGGTTTTAAAAGGCTTGAACGAGCCTGCTCATAGTTAATAGCTACATCCTGCATTTCCACATAGCCAGCGGAGAGAATCTGGCAGAGCGGCAGAAGCCACTTCTGGAACTCTGCGCTTTCTGTGCCATTTCCTTGTGTGCAAAGTGAAAACAGTTCCTCCCTCACGTGGTTGTGGTGACGTGAAGGACACCCAGAGGGACAGGCCTCATGCGGCCACAGGAACAGACGCGTGAGGGCACGTGTTCCTGCAAGGCAGGTGAAGAAACAAACCCACCCCGCTCTCCTACCCGGAACAAGGCAGTGTGGGCGACTGGGCAGATGTGGGAGGGAGGGCACCGGTGGGTCTCCTACCTGGAACAAGGCGGTGTGGGCGACTGGGCAGATGTGGGAGGGAGGGCACCGGTGGGTCTCCTATCCGGCACAAGGGGGGGGTGGGCGTCTGGGCAGATGTGGGAGGGAGGGCGCCGGTGGGTCTCCTGGGGGCCAGGCGTGTGTAGGACTTAGCTGTGAGCACACACGGTCCTGCCCAAGGGGCCAACGTCTGGGGGATGCAGACAAGAGGCAGGGGTGGAGGGTGCTGGGCTCCCGGACAGCCCCAGGGGGTGTCGGGGCTGTCAGGAGACAACCCCACCCCCCTCTGCTGTGTGGACCAGGACGGGGCTCAGGACAGCCGGGCTCTCTTCCAGGGATACAGAGAGGCCCTACAATTGATTACTAAGTGCTGGGTGAGGTGTGCCTAAGCTTTAAAGCTGTGGTGTGTTCTATAAAAAGTACATTAAAAAAACCAAAGTAATGAACACTAAGCTGTATAACTATCAATTTTTGAATCTAGCAGTTTCTAACTTTTTTTTTTCTTTTTGAGACAGAGTCTTGCTCTGTCACCCAGGCTGGAGTGCAGTGGCACGATCTCGGCTCACTGCAAGCTCTGCCTCCCGGGTTCATGCCATTCTCCTGCCTCAGCCTCCCCAGCAGCTAGGACTACAGGCGCCTGCCACCACCCTGTCTATTTTTTTTGTATTTTTAGTAGAGACGGGGTTTCACCATGTTGGCCAGGATGGTCTTGCTCTCCTGACCTCATCATCTGCCCACCTCAGCCTCTCAAAGTGCTGGGATTACAGGCGTGAGCCACCGCGCCCAGCCTAGCAGTTTCAACTTATTAGGGCTAACATACTTTAAGATGCTTTAACAGTGACCCTCCCTGTAGAGAGGGCTTCTCTGTGCTCTGGAAGGTCCCGAAAGATTCGCTGCTTAAGACTCTCCATCCAGATGTTGTTGACTCCCTCTCAAATTTCAAATTTGAGCAACTCTTTCAAATTTTAACCATGTTTACAAAGCTCCTGTCTCTGACACTGGGGTTGACAATACAGAGAAATCAGTGGTAATCACATCTTCCTGAAGCCCCAGGAACTTTCTGTAGCTCAGGTGGACACTCCCAACTTAGCTACGGCCGCAATGAGCCCGCAGAGGTGGTGCAGCTGCTAACCTGCCCTGCCACCATGACACACGGCGAGAGGAGAGGTCTTTTAGAGGCTATTTTGGTAACCTCCAAGACCTGCCCTGCCACCATGACACACAGTGAGGGGAGAGGTCTTTTAGAGGCTATTTTGGTAACCTCCAAGGAGAATAAAGCTCTACGTTACAGCTAGAGAACAACTAATCAAAAACATTATTTTCAATGTATATTTAAAACTTTAAAAATGTGAACATTGATAATGCAGACACTTAAGCAAGGATATCCTAAACAAGTTAATTAGCTACACTTGTTTACGGAAAAGAAGATCAAATACTAGTAAACCTGGTTTGTGCAATGTTGTGCTGAACACTGAGAATCTGCATGGCAGGGAGAAGAACATGACAGTGTCCCTAAGGAAGGCTCCGCCAGCCCTTGGGGTGGACATGCAGTGGAGAGGCCAGCTCCTCAGACAGCAACAGAAAGCCAGAGATGGCAGTTGCAGCCCAGACAGCTGGGACTTTGGGCATCTGACCTTTCTCAGCACTGCCCAGGAAAAGTGCTGAGAAACCACCCGGGCACAGCCGCACATTTGGAAACACATCACGGCCCCCCAGGCACGCGCAGAGACCCTGTCACCACCCATCATCTCTCCTGGGCATCAGGCAGCCCTCCATGTGGGAGGCCCCACTCTAATGAAGCCAGTGTACTGTATCTGCTGATCAAGGTTAATCTGTAGGCAAATAAACATTATTGAACTCTTCATATTATTTGCAATTTCTTTTTAATTCATCCAGTTGATTGTATTTGACGTTGGACTGGAGGCTGCAGGGATGGCAGGAAGGGCTGGAGGAGAGGCGTGGGTCTAGCACCCTTCTTTATGCATCCAACAGCTGTGTCTCTTCCCGTCTCCTGTTTAGGAATTGGAATAGTGACCTCTATAGGGTCATGTGTTACAGGAGACAAAAGAAGTGACAATTACTGTGAATTACAAAGGCAAGGCTGTCATTCATTATACCTCCTGTCGTTCCCAATTTTAACTACAGATGGCCCTTAAACAACATGGGTTTGAACAGCGTGGGTCCACTTTTACGCAGATTATTTTCAGTAAAGTTTATGCGGAGTGAGCTTGCCCCTCCTGCCTCCGCTTCCACCTCCTCCACCTGTTCTGCCTCTGCCCTCCTGAGAGAGCAAGACCAACCCCTCCTCCTCCTCAGCCTCCTCAACATGAAGACCATGAGGAAGAAAGTCAGAAGGTCTTCACGATGGCCCACTCCCACTTACTGATGAGTAGATAACATTTTCTCTTCCTTATAATTTTTTTATTTTTATTTTTTGAGACGGAGTCTCGCTCTGTCGCCCAGGCTGGAGTGCAGTGTCGCGATCTTGGCTCACTGCAAGCTCTGCCTCCCGGGTTCACGCCATTCTCCTGCCTCAGCCTCCCAAGTAGCTGGGACTACAGGCGCCCGCCACCACACCCGGCTAATTTTTTGTATTTTTAGTAGAGATGGGGTTTCACCGTGTTAGCCAGGAGGGTCTCAATCTCCTGACCTCGTGATCTGCCCGCCTTGGCCTCCCAAAGTGCTGGCATTACAGGCGTAAGCCACCGTACCCAGCCCATGATTTTCTTAATAACACTTTCTTTGCTCTAAGTTACTTTCTTGTAACAATGCAGAATATAATTCATGTAACATACACAATGTGTTAATCGATTTATCCATGTTATTAGTATGGCTTCGTTCAACAGGAGGCTATCAGCAGTTACGTGTTGGGGAGTCAGAAGTGATAGGCTGATTTTCATCTGTGTGGGGTTTGGAGCCCCTGGCCCTCGTGTTGTTCAAGGGTCACCTGTACTTGTTTCCTTTACAATACAATGTCCAGGGCCCAACTCAGGTTTGTGTTTAGAGGGAAGGAAGCCAATCACCTCAACACCTCCAGCTATCCGGAACATCACTATTTTAAGTCTGTTCACAGACTTACATATTCTTACATCTCAGGTTTGCATAAACTGGTTCTTTCTGTTATGTGATCATTGAAAAGTTTTTTTTTTTTTAAACATTTGACAAGCCAAGAATTCAGTTCTGGAGGAGCCTGATGGAAGCAGAATAATACACTTTTAACTCCAGCTCGAAGAATCTGCTGCCTCATTTCGTTTTTAATAAAATGAAAGGCTTTCATAATATAGTAGTACCACAACAAAGACATTGGTGAAGGGACAACAATTTATCCAAGGAAAGAAAATATAATGTTGAAAAAATAAATGTACATAGAATTTTTAATAAAGTTATCTTTGTGAAAAACATTCTGACATCATCTGTCTGTTGCAAAACATTTATTGATTTGGCCTCATAAAGCTAAATAAATTAAAGAAGTATTTTACAATTAATTGCACATCATTATGACCAAAAGTAATTTTTATGGCATTTTACTAGGTCTTCAGGGAGTTTAATTTATTCACGTCCCTGATTAAATCAAACCACCCCGAAGGAGATATTGATTCATATTGCCACTACCGTTGCGAACACTGGGGTGTGGAGGCTGCACGGACAGACCATCTCTGAGGTCCCAGGGTGGGAGGAGAGACTCTGAATTCCAACAGCAACACGCACACAGGAAAAAGGGCCATGTTTACTACAATTACAACAGTCTCCATTTTACTTGGAAATCCAACTACTGATTTATACATAAGCTTAACGATAAAATCATCTCATGAGGCTACCTACAAATCCTATTTACTTCAGGAGAATTTAATGAAATATGGGATTGCTTATTATTTGTATCTTATGTTCTAATTTTAGGTGAACCTTATGCACAAATTAGCATTAGGTTAAAATTCTAAAGAAAATCTTGCAAATATTTATGTTACAAAAGAGATACATTAAAATATAACTTTGATTACATATAAAGTATTATTTCAGAATAGTGAATGATTGATAATGCCTTCTATTTCTATTATAAACAAAATATTCTTTGTAAGGACCTACTTGTATAGATTGACACGCACTCACACACAAAACAAAAATGATTGTTATTTACACAGAAAGTAAATTATTGGCTGGGCATGGTGGCTCATGCATATAATGCCAGCACTTTGGGAGGCCGACACGGGCGGATCACGAGGTCAGGAGATAGAGACCATCCTGGCTAACATGGTGAAACCCTGTCTCTACTAAAAATACAAAAAAATTAGTCAGGCATGGTGGCGGGTGCCTGTAGTCCCAGCTACTTGGGAGGCTGAGGCAGGAGAATCGCTTGAACCTGGGAAGTGCAGGTTGCAGAGAGCCAAGATTGCGCTACTGCACTCCAGCCTGGGTGACAGTGTGTCTGTCTCAAAAAAAAAAAAAAGGGTAAACTATTTATAAATAGATAGGACTCCTACCCTTTCTCCTTTATGAAATTGAGAACTGCAAGCACTTAAAATAATTTAGTATAAAATGATACTGTGTTTGACAACCTATGTGGTTCCCATCAGCATCTGGTTTGACATTTTGACAGCTCAATTCATCCAATGATACCAGTGTCTGCAAGCTGGGGAAAGGATATCCTTTTCCTGTCATCTATCAATAAAGTTCATAGAAACACTGTGAACCAGGCTGAGAGTCACTCACATACCTCCTCTTCCATAGAAACACTGTGAACCACGCTAGAGTCACTCACATACCTCCTCTTCCAGCCAGTCATTATACTGCACGATAGGAGACATGGCCACGTCAGCGCCCTTCATGTAGAATGTGATTTCTGCCGTGGATTCATCCTATCAAAGAACAAAAATAAACAGAGGCACATTTAGGCTGCATTGCTCGGGGCAAATAACTGCTAGTCTAATAAAACATACAATGGAAAAAGCAATTCCTATGAATGTGTTCCTGTGTGTTAAGCTCCTCACACGTGTTTCTACGCGGAGGGCTAGGCCCACTCTTCAGCAATAGTGCAATCAGGACTGAGAACATAATTGTGCATCCTGAGATGCTAGGCTGAAGGTCTGAGTGTGTTAATGAATATGATTTGAGTTGCATTCATTCTCTTAAACTTTTACAGTTGGATTTAATGCTTCATTGTTTAGTCAACTTCCAAGATATGATTTTGGTGTTTGCTAAAAAAATTAAGGTACGTTTTGGCAACTTTATGGTCATAAATCAATGTACAAAAGTCAAACTCTTTGGCATGTTATTTTTGTTGAAATCAAAACAGCTTTAGTTGTTGATTTCAAAAATTAATAAATCCCACATTATTGATTCTGGCTAGGTTGACTTAGGAGAATTATTTTATCTCACTAGAGACACAGTAGGTTCCCAGATATAGATTATTAGCTTAGATTTCATTAAAAAAAAAAAACAAACAAAACTGTAACAGCATAAAGCACCTGAGTAAATGTTTAACTTTCTTTTGGGAAAATCTGTGTTTAAAAGGTGTGAAAACAAAATGTCTGAAGCCATCGCGTGGCACCCTCCCCGCAGCCTCACCCTGACGATGACGCCCATCCGCTTGCTCTCGGAGGTGAAGGGAAACAGCTGCAGAATGCAGAAGCTGAGGACCTGGCCACTGGGGGTCTTCAGCTGCATGGAGGTGAGGTCCCTGCTGACCAGCGTGAGGCCCACACTCTCTGTCCACTGCACCAGAGCGACCTACGGGAGACCAGCAACAACTGAGGCCACCGCTGCCTCAGGAAAGCCGCACGCAGGCGAGCCAGCACGGCAGTGCTCAGAAAGCTTGCCAACATGAGACAGCTGCAGAAGAACTTAGGTGTTCAGAACTTTTTGTTTTCACGGCTAAGTATATACGTTTGAATAACATTGTTCTAGAGGAATCCTAAGCAATATCACAAAAGTCACTTGGTATTATTCTTTAAAATAAAGACCATTATGGATCATAAAGACTTTCTTTACAATTTGTGTTAATTGCTCCCTAGAGCCAGATGGTTTTAAAATTGAGAACGCAGCTCACCCCATCAGTCTGGGGACAGGGAGCAAGTTATACGACTTTTCAAGGTTTCTCCCTCCCCAGTTCCATGGACACCATGAAAGGGGAAATAGTTTGAATCTCATGTTTATGGTAATTATTTTTCTAAAATAAGAGACAAATTGGTGACTAATTAACTCTATTAATGTGTCTACATGTAATATTTGCAAACTTAAAGGAGACAAGATAGACAAGGAGAAAGCAGGCCTGGGTTCTAAGCCCAAGTGTGAAAGTCGGAACTCCTGTGGCCAGGTCTTCACTCTGCTGGGGCCACGCTCCTCTTCTGTCATGTGGAAAAATGGCCTTCCAAATTGCTTTGAGGCCAAAATAACATGAGTGATTCTCTGGCATATGGCAGGTACTCAGAAATAGAATGTATTCTTATTGATAATTATTTATTGACTTATTAAAATTTAACAATCACAAGTGGAAGAGCAATTTTTACAGTTAATAATTTGTGAATAGTATTTTATGACAAAAAGTATTATTTTCTGATAAAAGTCTGTCTTTAAAAGCAACCTCCCTACCAGACATTAATCAGATAAATAGGGTATGCCAATCCTATTATGCAGCTAAAGGCACACTAACCATGGGGAACATGCTAACCACGGAGAACACACTAACCACAGAGAGCACACTAACCACGGAGAGCACGCTAACCACAGAGAGCACGCTATCCACGGAGAGCACGCTAACCACAGAGAGCACGCTAACCACAGAGAGCACGCTAACCACGGAGAGCACGCTAACCAGAGAGAGCACGCTAACCACGGAGAGCACGCTAACCACGGAGAGCACGCTAACCACGGAGAGCACGCTAACCAGAGAGAGCACGCTAACCACGGAGAGCACGCTAACCACGGAGAGCACGCTAACCAGAGAGAGCACGCTACCCACGGAGAGCACGCTAACCACGGAGAGCACACTATCCATGGAGAGCACGCTAACCATGGAGAGCACGCTAACCACGGAGAACACACTAACCACGGAGAACACGCTAACCACGGAGAGCACGCTAACCACGGAGAGCACGTTAACCACAGAGAGCACGCTAACCACGGAGAGCACGCTAACCACGGCGAGCACGCTAACCATGGAGAGAGCACACTAACCACGGAGAGCACGCTAACCACGGAGAGCACGCTAAACACGGAGAGCATGCTAACCAGGGAGGGCACACTAACCAGGGAGGGCACGCTAACCACGGAGGGCACGTTAACCACGGAGAGCACGCTAACCACGGAGAGCACGCTAACCACGGAGAGCACGCTAACCACGGAGAGCACGCTAACCATGGAGAGAGCACACTAACCACGGAGAGCACGCTAACCACGGAGAACACGCTAACCATGGGGAGCACACTAACCATGGAGAGCACGCTCTCTGCAACGTCCCACACCACTGCAGCACAGCCCAGTAACACAGCTGCTTCCCTCAGGGTCTCCTCTCTGTTCTGCAGGCCTGCCGCCACCCACAGTGCTGAAGCCCCTCACAGCCTGGGTGAGTCCTCTTCTTAAACCACAACCTCATTCTCACCCACCTCTTCCGATGAGCACGTCCTTGCCTTCAGTTTTAACCTCCACCTCACTCTCAGCCAAACAGTTTTAAAATCTTAGGTTCTAAGAACTCAAGTCACTTCAGGAACATTTTAAATGTTGTCTAGTGCACAGGATATTAAATCAATCTTAGGGCCTTCTGAACATTCCTGTGAGGATGAGTTCACACTCTTAGAGAGACTGTAGCAAAGTTCTCAAGAGCTCTGGCTCTGTGGCCAGCTGCTCAGGTTAGGACCGAACCCTGGGCAAATGGCTGCACCTCTGCAACCCCAGGGTCCTTGTCTACAGAATGGCCGTGCCGAGGCACCACTCAGAGCTGCAGCAAGGATTCGAGAAATGAGGTGTGAGGGCACACAGTGGACAGTCAGCACAGTGGACAGTCAGCACAGGGAGGCCACCAGGAGGATGCCAGGGCTCTACCCTCAGCTTTCTCACAGGAGCCCTCCAGACATGCACTCGTGGGCAGACCAGGAACTACCTTTAAAATCAGATTTTCTAAGCAATTCCCCACACGTCTGACCACAGAATACCTCTAGCATGATTTTCCAGTGTCTGGGTGTGAAGAGCTGCTTCCTTTCTTTTTCATGCTTTGAACTTGACACAGCAGGGCACTGTGTGGGGACGGAGTGTGCAGAGATGAAACCGAACACCATGTGAGCTCAGGGAGGGAGGGTACAGAGATGACACTTAACACCATGTGCAGGGAGAGAGTGTGCAGAGATGACACACTAACACCATGTGAGGGGAGGGAGGGTATAGAGATGACACCCTAACACCATGTGAGGGGAAGGAGTGTGCAGGGATGACACCCTAACACCATGTGAGGGGAGGGAGGGTACAGAGATGACACCCTAACACCATGTGAGGGGAGGGAGGGTACAGAGATGACACCCTAACACCATGTGAGGGGAGGAAGGGTACAGAGATGACACCCTAACACCATGTGAGGGGAGGGAGGGTACAGAGATGACACCCTAACACCATGTGAGGGGAGGGAGGGTACAGAGATGACACCCTAACACCATGTGAGGGGAGGGAGGGTACAGAGATGACACCCTAACACCATGTGAGGGGAGGGAGGGTACAGAGATGACACCCTAACACCATGTGAGGGGAGGGAGGGTACAGAGGTGACACCCTAACACCATGTGAGGGGAGGGAGGGTACAGAGGTGACACCCTAACACCATGTGAGGGGAGGGAGGGTACAGAGGTGACACCCTAACACTATATGACGGGAGGGAGGGTACAGAGATGACACCCTAACACCATGTGAGGGGAGGGAGGGTACAGAGATGACACCCTAACACCATGTGAGGGGAGGGAGGGTACAGAGATGACACCCTAACACCATGTGAGGGGACGGAGGGTACAGAGATGACACCCTAACACCATGTGAAGGAATGGAGTGTGCAGAGATAATGGAAAACAGCCTAACGCCATGTCTCTTCTGGCTCTGGAGATGCTGCGTGCAAGTGGGGAGTGCCGGGAGCAAAGCCAGGGATCGCGATGGTGTCACCGGTGCTGCGTGGAGGTGACAGGCACCTGTCCCTCCTTTTCAGGGCTGCCCAGGTGCCACTGCCACTGACCTCGCCCCACAGGCATGCTTTTGAGAGGCCTGCAGTGCAAAAGCCCCCGCTCCTTCCCTGTCATGTGACCTCAGGTGACTTCCCAAACATTTTTTAGGCTCTAGTTAAGGAATTAAATAGACAAACAGGCCAACTGTTTTAGGATAATAAACACACACACATATTTATACAGTTTCAAATGGTGCGTACTCAATCTATCAGCATTTACCTTTTACAAATTTCTCATATTTTAAGAAGTTTACAAAGTAAAGTGAGCTTATGATATATGGAATAGAATGATTCTGGAAAAGCAGTATTGAGAGAGAAACTGTAACTACTATCCTACATTTGCAGTCATTTCAGTTACAAAATCCGACGTGCACTTCTACAGAAAAGGCATAAGAGATGGGAGAGTCAGACACCTTTTCTCAACTCAAGTTCTTCATCTGCATCCCAGAGGGCAGAAGTGATCTGAGGCACCATTTTCTATTTCCAGGGAGAGTACCAGCTAGTCCTGCTCTAGACTGGGGAGGAAAGAATGCGTCACACAAACGACCTGTGTCCTCCGGCATCTGGGGTCCCTCCTCCCCAGAACCTGGGAGAGGGGCTCAGGGGTTGTGGGCTCCCTTTTCCAGCAGGGACCGGGTCTGTCTTCGGCCACGGCCTTCATCTTCCCCACATGGCTCTCCAGCCCCACTGGTTTACTCCACAGCCCCAGCTGCTGAACACACTTCAAAACCTGCTTTCTGAAGGAGGAATGACTATGTACAATGTTGGAATTTCTCCTCAGCCCGAATTTATCATCTAGAAATACAAATTTCATTTAAACAAATAAGACCATATAGTTAACTATTTATAAATTCAGGGACAGCAAAATGTTACATATTAGACCAGCAATTAAGAAGACTTAATGGTATAGAATTACTATTTTTCTATAAGCAACATTCTGAAGTGAGACAACTCGTTTCCATATTTAAGGGAAAAGAGCCTTTACTCTTATTAATCAACCCTGCATGTAAGGGCCAGTGCAATTTGTTGGGTACCTGGTCAGCACCTGTTGGTCCTCCAGGTAGTGGGATGTGGGGCAGGGTCTGGTCTCAGCCCACAGCGCTGGCTGAAGAACTACACCCCAAGAGTGAGTCAGACAGACCTCAACCCTTTTCTGCTTGACATCTGTATCTGTGGGTGGACTGAAAAATTAAAAGACACCCTTATATGGGTAATATCTGCTTGGTATCTAAAACCACTAATCAAATTTGAAAATGTGCCTAATAGGCTGGCACACTCCAGGGCACTTTGGTCTGGGCAAAGACTTCTTGAATAAGACCTCAAAAGCACAGGCAACCAAAGCAAAAATGGACAAACAGGATCACATTGGGCTAAAAAGCCACTGCACAGCAAAGAAAACAATCAACAAAGTGAAGAGAAAACCCACAGAATGAGAGAAAATATTTGCAAACTACCCACTGAGAAGAGATTAATAAGCAGAATCTACCAGATCATTGTATATTCTCAAACGACTTAATCGGAAAAAAATGAGTAATTCGATTAAAATATGGGCAAAAGATCTGAACAGACATTTCTCAAAAGAAGACACACAAACGGCCAACAGGTATAGGAAAGCATGCTCAATATCCTTTAATCATCAGACATGCAAATAAAAATTACAATGAGGTATCACCTCACCCCAGTTAAAACGGCTTCTATCCAAAAGACAGCAATTCAAATGCTGGCGAGGGAGGAGGTGGGAGAAGGGAGCACTGTTGTCGGGAATGTAAATTCGTGCAGCCCTCTGGAGAGCAGCATGGAGGTTACCCCCAATCTAAACACAGAGCCACCATATAATCCACAATCCCACGCCTGGGAATATCCCCCAAAGAAAGGAAATCAGTACACTGAAGAGATCTCGGCACCCCTACGTGTACTGCGGCACTGTTCACAGTGGCCACGTTATGGAATCAGCCTGTGTCCCCCACTGGATGCACGGATGAAGAAAACGTGGTGTACACACAATGGAGTATTATTCAGCCATCACTAAAGAATGAGACCCTTTCATCTACAACAATGTGAATGGAACAGGGGCACATTATGCTAAGTGAAATCAGCCGGGCACAGAAAGACAAACACTGGGTCTTCTCATTCTTATGTGGGAGCTAAGAAAAAAAGGTTGAACTCCTGGAGACAGAGAGTAGAATGATGGTTACCAGAGTCCGGGAAGGATATCGGGGACATTGAGGATATTGGGGATAGGGGTGATAAAGGGGGCTGGTGAATGGGTACAAAAATACAGTCGGATAGAAGGAATAAGATCCAGCGCTCAGTAGCATGATAGGGTGACCTTCACTGACAATAATTTATGTATATTTTACAATAACTAAGAATGGAACTGCAATATTACTAACGCGAAGCAACGATAAACAGAGGATTACTAACACGAAGCAACGATAAACGGAGGATTACTAACGCGAAGCAACGATAAACGGAGGATTACTAACGCGAAGCAACGATAAACGGAGGATTACTAACGCGAAGCAACGATAAACGGAGGATTACTAACGCGAAGCAACGATAAACGGAGGATTACTAACGCGAAGCAACGATAAATGCTTGAGGTGACGGGTATCCCAATTACCGATTTGATCACTGCATATTGTATGCTTGTATCAAATATCACATGTACCCCATAAGTATGTACTATTACGTACCCAGAATAATTTAAAATTTAAAAACTTAAAAAAGACATAAAACATAAAGCAAGACTAAATCAAAGGCCCCGAGTCTCTACCATATTTCAGGACGGTCTGACTCTGTCTGAAGTACCATATTTAACTTTGCTGCATGTTGAGAACATTCTGCTCTGGGAGGCACCTAGAATTTGACCTTTATAAACCTGAAGCTTCCCACTCTCAAACATGATTGATGTGTCTTCCTTTTGCTGAAAATAAATGAAATTAGCAAATTTTGACTTTGGTCTGTTTTGCTTAAGAATCTTAGTAAGAACATAAATTACACAAATAGGAGCAAATCCAATGCTTAATGTGTGCCAAATACTGTGAGAAACTGCTGTCTGGAAATTCTTTGCTTGTAATTTTCATGCTTTGTTAGAAATCAGTAAAGGACATACTCACTGAGGAAGTGCTGATGTGGCCAGGGCTGAAGCCACTTGGCCCCACTGCCCCTGCCTGGGGTGGAATCCGGGTCAGAACCCTCTCCTACTGATGGAAGCTGCCTGACCGTGCCCCGAGGGTGCGGCCAGGAGAATGTCGGAATGGTTCTGTGCCCCACATTTGGGATGGTGTGCCGTGCAGCAATGGTGGCAGATGTCAACACTCGCTGTCTCAATTCTGACGTTGGGTTAGAGGTTGGACGGCACTGCCGTTCTATGGACGCTACAACTCTGGAATTCCATGCCTGTGTTAAACGTTCAGTAGGGTGTCACCCACGGGGCTTGAATTAGAACTCTCCCTCTCCGACTTTCCTGCATGTTACTAAGTACACCGAGAGTCTAAAATTGTGCTAGGGATGACGCAGTCCTGTAATTCAGGGCATCAGCGATACACTCCACATTACCAAAAAAGGCACGTGGGGGTCAGCCAGGACTACCACCCATCGAAGGGGAGGGAGGTGGCACCTGTGCATCACCATCTCCAGTGGGAAGTGAGGGTGTAGCTCTACCATTGCTTCCTCCAATAAAACTTCTTCTCCACAAGCTGTAAATTATGCCAACGCTCCTGAGGCTAATTTCCAATTTACACAGTGAAAGGTTACGATTACATTTTGACCTGTAAATTGCATCTTTCCGTGAACACCCTGTCATCTCACTGGTGCCCCACTGCAGTCAGGACTGAGCTTTCTATATTTGGTGACTCACATCTGTTTATTATTTAGTTTATGCTTGGTTTCACAATCCATTTGAGCAAAGAGCAGCTTATAACAAAAATCAGTTTAGCTTCTTATACCTAGCCCAGCATTCCATCCAATTGTTTTTAATTTGTAATCATCTTGAAGATTAACTCTATATAATGCCAACCAGAAAAAAAGAATATCCAAATTTTTCATGATAGATGCTTTAATTACTGTTCTCATGTAACTTGCCTGTTGTTGGACAGAATTTCGATAATATAAAATTAAACATAGCCAGGAGTGGTGGGCACATGCCTGTAATCCCAGCTATTTGGGGGGCTGAGGCAGGAGAATCGCTTGAACCCGGGAGGCAGAGGTTGCAGTGAGCTGAGATCGTGCCACCGCACTCCAGCCTGGGCAATAGAGCGAGACTCTGCCTCAAAAAAAAAAAAAAAATTGCTAGATGAAATAACTACAAGAAAAATAATTTCAGTGAGGACATGCAGTACTTTTAGCATCTTTGCTCCTGAA
The DNA here is from genome assembly GCF_000001405.40 of Homo sapiens. NCBI lineage: Eukaryota > Metazoa > Chordata > Mammalia > Primates > Hominidae > Homo > Homo sapiens. The sequence goes on along the minus strand of NC_000018.10, from coordinate 79,321,309 downwards.
TTCATACCTAAGTACTCAATACTTCACGCAGACCTGGTCCTCCTTATTGAAGATACATCAAAGGAACGGCTGGTTCCCACGGACACGGCAGATTCTCCGGTTTTGGTTTTGAGCTTTCATATCTTAATTCATGCTCTGCAGCTCTGCAGCACGTAAGTGTGGGGATTTGACTAGGTGAAAGCAGCCTAGCGAATTCTCTTGGTATATCTGAAATATAGTCATGGTGTTCTTTTTAGAAGGCTCTTAGAAATAACTTACATCTAGGGACAGTAGATGTAGAAATTAAAAGAAAATTGTAAAGGATTGATAAGTTTGAGTCTATTATCTTCCTAAAGATGTTTGAGAGATTAAAATATACACACTTTCCTAAAGTATGTAAGCTCCCTCCCCGCATAAAACCCACAGCATCCGGAGGTTTCCTAGTGTGTAAGCTCCCTCCCAGTATAAAACCCACAGCATCCCAAGGTTTCCTAGTATGTAAGCTCCCTCCCAACGTAAAACCCACAGCATCCCGGAGTTTCCTAGTATGTAAGCTCCCTCCCAGTGTAAAACCCACAGCATCCCGAGGAAGTGGGATAGGGTTCTACAAGCAACGAGGGCTGGAGGGGGGTGGGAGTTCTGCATGGCCAGCCAACCAGATGGTCCATATGCAGATCCAGTAAAGACAACCTGTCATTTCAACTCCCAACTTCAGAATCAAGCTGTCCAAGCAAGACTGGGGTTTATCTTCCAACAACAGACACAGTTATGGAGACTGACGGCAGCTAGCTCAGTGACAAATACATTTGTTAGAGACCCATTCTCTGACTGTCCCCCTGGCCTGGCCCTGGGCCTCTCATGCCCCTGGTGTGTGTGGAGTGCCGGCCGCGCAGCCAGGCCCTCCCCATCACTCTCCACCAGGCAGTCTTACTTTCGGCTCAACCCCAGGTCTCCAAAAGGCCCTGCTGACCACCTGATCAGAGTGCTGTGTGCCCCTCCCCTTCCCCTGGCAGAGGACGTACTCGCACTGCGCCTCCGCTGCGTTCTAGGGACCAACACTCCCAGGTCCGGGCTCCTTCCCTCCCAGAACCTCAGTTCCCCACACAGGTCCAGGTGCACTGTGCTCACCGATGTAGACTCAGGAACAAGCACAACGACTTATTTCTTGAATAAATGAAAGCTAAAAGATCTCCTATTTAAAATGATTTAAAAGTGGAAAGCTGAGTGGAATTCTGAAGACACAGGCAAAACCATAAATGGGCACGTTCTCGGCACTCCGTGTCAGGACTCTCCAGGGCCTGGACAGCCTGGTGAGCACAGGGCTGCTGCAGAGCAATCTGGGCTCTGAGTTTAAAGAGAGTCGCTCTCTCCCTGAAGTTACTAGTGTGCCTCTCAACCATTTATTTGCATATAAAATGCAAATCACCTGAAAGAAGTAAATAGGTTAATAATAAATTAATTAAATCAAAGAGTACTCCTGTAAGCCAAGCTCTGTAGATGCAGAAGTCATGGCAATATTTGCTTCAGGACTTTATTTTAGATTTATTTACATGGAGAATCACATACATGCATCACCTCTACAATCAGTTTAATCCCGAGGAACTAGAAACTAAATTCTGGCAATAAATGAAATGGATATACGGTACAGATATTCTTCAGGCCGGTTTCCTTAAATCTTTTTGTGCTATCAACGTGGGAGAGACACTGAGGACAGTGATTCCAGCCACAGGACTTGTCATGTTAAGTGGAGACGTAGGGAAGGAAACAATGAGGAGGACAACGCAAGCCAGAGAAGCAGGGACCCCTACGGAAGGAACTGTTCAGTGTTCCCTCTATTCACTCACGTTAGCCAGGAGAGGCGGGGGCCCCTATGGAACTGTTCAGTGTTCCCTCCCTATTCACTCACGTTAGCCAGGAGAGGAGGGGGCCCCTCCTCTATTCACTCACATTAGCCAGGAGAGGCAGGGACCCCTAGGGAACTGTTCCCTCTCTATTCACTCACATTTCAAACACTACATATACAAGGGCATTTTATTTTCTTATTGAAGCACTTCTGGAAGGCAGCTTACGTGTCTTTAACAAGAGACAATATTTAACAGTGCTAAAATGTTTGTTCCTCAACTTTTATTTTTAGTGTCTGACATGGGTCTCCAACTTGCCTGAAAGTGAAGCCGAGAAGCCCTTTCTTGCTTCCTTCCACTGCAGGTCCCAGAACATCCAAGACCCTCCAGTGAAGGCACAACCAGGTGTGAATGAAATGGGTGGCCGAGATGCTGGCACTCACCAGAATACCACACAGCTGGTCATGATGACCCTGTGCCCAGAAACACACTTTTCTTCCCTAACATTTTTAACATTTTTCTAATTTCACAAGGACACGAGTTAAAGGAAGACCACACCACCCAGAGTGGTCACCTCGTTCTGCAGAGGAAATATTACTGGGTGATCTACAGTGGGACCTGAAGTCATGCTATCCTGCAGTGACCCTGTGTCTTCCATACAATTACAAGATAAATACTAAAGGCCAGATACCACAAAGAAGAAACTGGCTAAACCACTGTTGTAAAATAACCACAAAAAAAGACAAAGCACTTAAAACATATCTGAACTTTTATTTGGTAATTTTCTGAAAGGTGCATATACACAGTGTTTCTTCAAGTTGTCAATAAAATCTGAGCAAGCAGCAGGTTCCATTTTTAAAAGCTTAAATCCATACTTGATTCAGACATCCTTCATTCCTACCTCAAGTCCTTGTCTTGTCCCAGGTCCCATCCGGGATGTCACATTTAGTTTTCATGTCTTCTCTTGGCTGCTACAGTTTCTTGGACCTGCCTAGTTTTTGATGACCTCCACAGTTTTGAGAAGTACTGGTCGGGTATTTTGTTAAGTATCGCTCAGTTTTATTTGTCTGATGATTTTCTCACGAGTAGACTGGGGCTGTGGGGCTGGGGAGGAAGACCATGAAGGTGAGGTGCTGTTGACCACATCCTGTGGGGGCTGCATCTAGCAACACGACTTTTCACTGCTGATGCTGACCCTACTCACCTGACTGAGGTCGTCAAGCTACTCTTCCTTTCCCCTTTTCACACCATGCTCTTTGGGACGAAGTCATCGTGTGTAGCCCACACCTAAAGGAAGAGGAATTATGCTCCCCAACCTGCGGGTTCAGTAGCTACATACATGATCCTTTTGCACAGGAATCCTTCTGCATGGGCGATCTGTCTTTCTCTCCCATTCATTTATTTATTCATATCAGTTTGGACTCATGCATTATTTGTTTCATACTATGGGCTATAATCCAGTACAACTGACTTTGCTGCTCATGCTGTTCCAGCATTCACCACAGGGAGCTTTTCCAGTTGGCTTCTGTGTCCCTCCGACACATCCCCTGCCATGCAGGCAGCTTTTTCTGTTTGTTTGCTGGCTTTGAGCAATTCCTTACTTCCTGGCAGTACCAGATGCTCCAGGCTCAGTCTGGGTATTTCCTGCCTTGGTTCTAGAATCAGCCATTTCTGCAAGGAGCCCTGTGTGCATTCTACCATGCAATGGCCATGTTTCCACCACCCCGGAGAGGTACATGCTCTTTTACTGCTCTTTGGCAGTCATCCCACTGCTGCCAGCATAATCCTGAACTTACCAAAGTCTAAGTAAATCAGCACCTTTACCTGTACTCTAAGGACCTTAGAGTAATTTACTCCCATTGACATCAATCGCCTCTTGACTTTTGGCTATTATCATCATGTATCTTAATATTTTTTCTGTATTAGACCCCACAAATCACTACTTTTATGGTATTTTACAGTCAATATTCATATCTCTTTTGGTGATGTAGCTGTTCAAATCTTTTGCCAATGTTTAAATTCAGGTGATGTTTCCTCATTACTGAGTTTTGAGAATTCTTTATATATTCAGCATACTAGTCACTTATCAGGTAAGTATTCTGCAAACATTTCCTACAAGTCTCTGGCTTATCTTTATTTTCTTTTTTCAAATTTATGTTGAAATCCTAATTTGTCTTTATTTTCTTAATAAATGTCTTTTGAAAAAAATAAGTTTTACTCTGATATTCAATTTATCATTTTTTTCAGAACTTCTGCTTTTTTTGTGTCCTTAGACATCATTGCCAAACTTTTTCTTGCTCAAGAAAAGTTCTTACAGTATATGATTTATTTGTGCCTCAAAACAACTGACCTATAAAACTGGTCAAAAGCCATTTTGGGTGATTTTTCTAAATTTCTTTTCTCGTCTACTCAGATTTATATGGAGTCAATTTTGAAATTTATATTTCTCCAGAAAACACTTATTTTACTGTCTTTGAAAACATAAGCATTTGAGCTGTATTTCATATTCTCTTATAAACATTTAAGCCTACTTGTTTATTATACACTCTTACATATGGATAGTTTCATATGTGTGAACTTAGTTTACATTCGCTGTTTTGTATTTACTATGTTTTGCCAATAATCTTCCGATTTCATTTAACCTTTCAAAGAATCAGCTTTTGAATTACTGCTTACTCAATCATTACTTGTATGTTTTCCTTTACTTTTTCTTCCTCCCACTTTCCTTTGGTTTTGTTCTTCTTCTTACTGAGTTTTTAGTTTGATGCCAAGTTAACATATGTTCATTTCTTTCTCTTGATGCACATGGCATCTGGTGAGGGTACCAGGTGCTCTCTGACGTGTTGGCTGCGCTGCGGTGGGGCTGCTGTCCTGAGGTCACTGCTACTGCTGACCACATTTGGGAGGTGGATCCCTGCAAGAGCTACTTTCCCACAGAGACCACTTTGATCTCTGCCCTCTTTGCCACAGCTTCTTTGAGGTTATTATTTGCAGTCTTTGGTTGGACTGTATACTAAACATGTTAGCTGCCAACAGGACAGACATGGGAAGAAGGCTGCTGAGGGGTGGATGGAAATTCTCAGGTGTGCGGCTCAGATTCTGTCTCCACAGCAGCAGGTGACACGTGGCTGCAGCCCTCACATTCAGGCGGCGGGTGGAAGGTTGCAGTGGACATTTTTCCCTGTTTTCTCTGGATGCTCTCAGGGATGGCGCAGGCAACCACAGAACGCAATCTCCACCTGCACGACCGGCCATTTGTCATTTAGATTTTTCTTTACTCAGTCAGGAGCTCTCTAATAATCCTGTTTCCGATGTCATCACTTGATTTTCTCTTTCAAAGCGATTGTGTCCGTATTCAATAAAAAACTGGCAGAGTAGTTTATCAAGTACTCCTCGTGTGCTTCTATATTAATATGGAATTAACTGCTGCCTGACATTATGATAGGAAGTAATCCCTAAGATATTTTTCTCTGAAATGCAGAAAGACCAGAATTTAAAGGCTTAGTACACTTCAAATGACTAGTTCTCTGATACTGAGCTGTCAAAAATCTCTAATAATGTGATTCTTGACAATTCAAAGGCAAAAAATAACTAAGATGTGAATGCAAAAAAATATATGTAAGTGGGAACCTGAGCTGAATCTCATGCACAGGCTGCTTAGCAACACAGTTAAGTAATCTCTGCCACAGGCGATTTGTTTACACACTTGCACTTCTCCATGCTAAATAACCACTCTGAGAAACAGACCCAAGAGTAGCACAGCCAGAAGTAATATCATATGAGAGAATACAAAATACGGGGCAATTCTTACCATTAATAATTCTCTATAATTCCATTATTCAGAAATTTCTGTGCTACTGTTCTTAAAAGCTAGGAAGAAATTTCCTTTATCATATTAGCAATTCACACAGGCAGCTACCCGCTACACTGTAAAAATATACATTTTCTTACCATGCACTTTGTACATCATAATTTAATCACTGAGATTTCATCATTTTTGATTGTGGTTATTATAATCATCTCTATATTTTAATGGAATTATTAACATAAGATGCAATTTGATCATCTGAAAAAGCTGCTAATCAATATTCACAGATAGGCTACGTAGTATTTATTCTCTATTGGTCCTGAAGGTCACAGTGTGAAGGCTTTATGTCACTGACAATGATTTGCTCCTCACAAATATATCTGACAAAACCCCACAATTAGTCTTGCTTCAATAGGCACACACGATAAAATGAATTAAAAAATACAGCACGCCTCATGCATTAGTGCCTACTTCTGTAAACCCAAAAGCAATACTATTAATAACCCACTTGTGCTCTGTCATTAATTATAGCTGATTCTTGCAAATAAATACTGGAGTCAGGCGATGACAGCTACATTCTGAAATACTATTTAAATACGGAACTTACCAACATGAGAAAACACAGCCACAGAGGGAAAAGAATGAGACTACTAAACAGCTAGTCTAGAGGAATAAGCAGTCATTAAGAATCACAGTCACTCTTTCTGGACCAAAAGAAGCCGGCGGTCTTCAAAGTTCCTTCCACCCCACGCCTTCAGCGCTTGAGCTGACACCCTCTGCACTCAGAGGCTCTGCCCACCGAGCTTCTGTCCTTCTCCGAGGGCTCATGCCACTAGTTCGGTGCTGGTGTCCTGCGACTGCACTGGACATATGCCCTAACAGTTAAACAGGGCTGAATTTTAATTCTGTGAGGGAACTTCCAGAGAGCATTTAACGTTTGCTCAGCTAGAGCCTGCTATGCTGAGCCTGCGGAGAGCAAGTGATAGGCAAGCAGAACTTTCTACTCTCTTAGAGAAAATGAAATATTGATCACTTATCATAAGAAACAATGACCGGGGCATAAGTAGGTTCCACATTATGAATACGAAATCAGTTATTTACACTTTGACAATCACCATCACATCTACCTTCAAGTATCGTATCACCACACATACCACACAAGACACATCACACTTCAAGTGTTTAATTGCTTATGCCTCACAGGACCTTTAAGGATTTAAAATTAATTCCTCAGAATTCAATTATTTGTATAATACAGATTCATCTATGCACATGTGTAGGTAAGGAGAAAGATTGTTTCTCCTTCAGGAAAAATGAAAATCAAAGACTGCTTATTTCCTGAAGAACAGCAACTGTGTATCAGCGACTAAAACTAGGGCACTCTACTTACTAAACTGCATCCTTCCTAAAGACCGAGATGACACAGCGCCACAAACAGGGTTTTAAGAGGATGGTATGGGTGCACAGTGGATGAAACTAGTTAAGTCTCTCAAATGATAATGTTGCTTATTAACCATAGATGTTGTGATAGGTCAGAGCTGAGGTTAAATAGAAAACATCAATTGAACCATTTCCCTAAATAAAGCTCCAGGGTGCAATATTCTAAGCACTTTATTCGATAAAAAATGCTTTTAAAACGGTACTTTGGTGATCGGGAAACACTACTATCATCCGTCAACCTAACTGCAGCAAAGTTCAATAAGCTAAATAATGAACCATTTAGATGATTTTCCTGAGGCTTTAGGGACTTGCAAACATTGCATCAATAGAGCTCTTTAAAAATTATGATGAAGTCTATTGTTTTCATTTTCAGATTTAAAATACGTTTTAGGGATTTTTAAAAGGTTATTTAATGTTCTGCTATTTTTTATCATTGTCCAATTTCCCAAGTAGAAAGACATTTTAGACAAGTAAAAAAATTTAACTGTAAGGTTAGCAATGTCTATAGTTTCTCTAAATTTTTAATAATCTTGGAGTCAATGAAATCTCTATTGTGAATTCCCAATTTAAGATTCAAAAAGTGTTATGACTTATATTAAAACTTAAAAATAAAAAATCCCAGATACTTTGAATAAAAAATGTGGAATAAGGTAATATGGTAAATATGTAATACAGTATTTTTAAAACTTCAAATACAGTTTTCTTTGGGAAAAATCTCTAGTCTAGGTTTCTCATATTTATGGCAGGAAAATCCTTCTTTTTCAATACATAATCACATGACATTTTTGAGAATTTCCAGAATGCCATAACAGAAAAAACAATGTGTTCGACCCCTTCTTGATAGGAATATGGGGGCTTGCTTCCTCTTACAGAGCGGTTGCTCATGACCTGTGTTTGTCTCACAGCCCACACTAGAATGCTAAGAAGACAGCAACTGATAAATCTTACAAGTCTCAACTCATCGTCTTGTCAGTCTAAATGCCCATATTTGCTTATGATTGTGGAACTACGCCTCTTCGCTCAGATTCTCTTTTACTAAATAAATGGATCTGAGACACATACACACACCCCAATTCCAAACGTGGTTCTGAGTTTAGCTACAGAGATTTTTACGTATCTATCAGTCAACACAATCTATGAACTGTAACAGGGCTGATGGCTAAAGGAAGCTTAACAATCGTGCCCACTGACAGAAAGGTGTAGCCAACAGCGCGCTGACAGGGAGTGGGAAGAGTGGAGCTTGGGTTTCCACATTTCCTCAAAGTTGAAAAACTCTATACGATGACGACATTGTATTCTGGAGCTTTTCTGAAATCTAATACTTCAACTGATCCCAATTTTCAGAGACTTTGCCAATTACTTTCTGAAAAGAGGGAAGTGACAATGTGATTCACAAGAAGGAACTTAAGTTCTTTATCGTAATTTCACATTGTACCAAAAAGGCAAATACCATCTAAACTTTGGGACATGGCCTTGCTAAACTATAGGAAACTAGCTCCTACTTAAACTTCCACTAATATAGTTTTAAGGACCAATATTCCTACAGATGTGTTTTACTCCCCTCCTCCCACTTGACCAGTAGCTCCCCGCACCATCTTCCCACACAGCCAAGGTTCGCTCAGCAGGCGACGCTTGTGAGCCCCTGAAAAGAAGGCAGATGTGGCGTAAGGAAGATAAAGCCTGCTACTCAGAACCTGCGAAAACACGGAGAGGGATGCCCACCCAGAAGACACATGGGAGTCCCGCGTGCCAATGGGCAGCTGGGGACCCCTGGTCTGGGGTGAGGGCAGCCAAGGGATGTCAGGCTAGGGAAGAGCACAGAAGAAGCAAACGAGCGAGTGCCAGGATGCAGCTCCATACAAGCTTGGCGCAGCCTTGCTGAACAAAATGCTCTGAATAATTATAAAAGTAACGGAGTGACTACAGAAATTTCACACAGTAATATAACTGCATTTAGGAAAAAGTAAATGATCCGTTTATGCCAGTCCATAGAAGGCACCACCCAATCCACATGTACCCACCATCATGAATTACTGATGTGGCCGGAAGAGCATTTGGATGGGGCACTGGTTGAACCCAAGCAGGGAAGCCAAGACCAGCACCTCCGCGAAGGCACCTTTGTGAAGGCACCTCGGCGAAGGCGCGTGAGCAGACCGGTCTCAACGCTGTGCATGGGAATGACTGGAGGGAAGGCGGCAGGCACACGGAGTTACTCAGAGAGGTCTCGGGAACAGAAGGCATTACGGGTTTGACAGCAAAAGCCTGCCACGAGGGAAGGCTGCATGGCTGCGTGCAAGTGCGCCCAGCCACACCGGGGACAGAGATTCTCACGAAAGGCTCAATGAAACACAGAAGCTCCGGTGATGGTGACAGAGAGGAACGTGTACTGGCTGCGATGCAGGGCTGTCCCATCACGGTGGCATCCCTGATACTTATCTGGAGATAGGAAGGCGACGGACTGTAGAGAAAGACGGAAAGCCAACCTGTGATCCGCAGAGTCTGAGGGGAGATGAGTGATCCATGTTCTCAACTTCCCATGTTTAAAAAAACCACTTTCATCGTTTTGGCTACTTTTTCACCATCCTTTAGGTTCTTACATGGCTAATGACGTGTCATAATTGCTAAATTAGTATATTTTGGTTAGAGTAAGTTAGTATCTTGACTAAACAACAAAAAGAAAAATGCCTATGTAACTAAAGTTTTAAATAAGCAAGCTTGTTTTCCTTGAAGTCTAGCCGTGGCTTATACTTTGTCGAATACCATGAATCTGCTGGCACATTTAGGCTTTCTTGTTCCTGAGGTCACCGTATCAGGGGATGTTTATATCTGTCCCCTGGACAACCTCAGCTGAGCCCACTGAGAGTCACCACCACGAAAAGTGTACAGAAAACTTAAAATATTGGTGGAGGAGGGCCTCACATCCTCACATTCACCCGTTTATCAAACTTCAGCATTCGCCTCAAGTCCTAAAAGTAAGTCAAAAGGAAAGATATATAAAATACAGTGGTTCTCAATTGTGGGGTGTAACCTTTTAGATTTTCAAAATGGAGAAATGTCCAGCCCCAGCCCAGCATTTCTTTTCTTTTTTTTGAGACTGAGTCTTGCTCTGTCGCCCAGGCTGGAGTGCAGTGGCGTGATCCTGGCTCACTGCAACCTCCGCCTCCTGGGTTCAAGCAATTCTCCTGTCTCAGTCTTCCAAGTAGCTGGGATTACAGGAGCCTGCCACCACACCTGGCTAATTTTTTATATTTTTGGTAGAGACGGGGTTTCGCCATGTTGGCCAGGCTGGCCTCAAACTCCTGACCTCAGGTGATCCGCTCAGCTTAGCCTCCCAAAGTGCTGGGATGACAGGCATGACCCACCATGCCTGGCCCCAGCCCAGCATTTCTGTAATGGGGGTGCTAGCGTGCATATATAAAAAGATAAGTATTTTTAAAAAGGAAACAAAAAAAAACCCCTGGAAGTCTGCCTGATGTACAGACAAGTTTAAAAACCACTTGCTTCTGTGTATATCTTTCCTTCCCCAGGAAAGTGGTTCCCACATCTGCACACAGACATGAGAAGTGCCTTCAGGACACGAGATCTAGTCCCATGATCCTGGAAGTTTGTGCCTTGTCAGGACACGGTCACAGCCAACTCTCAAGGAAAAAAAGATGAATGACATTACTGGTTGTTCCTGAGCCATAAAGTGGTAGAATTCTTCTGCTTCTAGAAGCCTAGACAAGAGACTCCTGCTTTCAGGCAATTTTAAAGTAAAAGTTGCTTGCCACCCTTGGTCAGCTCTGCAGCCAGCATAGCTCCTCCTCAATTATCAACACACATTTATTTATTCTGTTCTGTCTTCTTTGGGCTACAAATCTGTTCTAGTTATTACTCATAAGGCAATTTTCCAAACATTCTGAACGCATAGTTGTATATTCTGACTTCTTAATTTTAATCAGCAAAACGGTGATGCCCTTCCCAGTGCTGCAAGCCCCGTACTGTGCATGATGAGGCGCACACACGCCAGCTCCGCCTCCTCATGGCGGCTACGGTCTGTCCCTATTCTCACCCTTCCACAGCAAGGACTTGAGTCTCTGCTGCAAGATGTATTATCACCAGGGAAAGAGGCTCTCTCATGCCTCTCCACCCTTCTTCCTGCCTCTTCTCCACATGCCTCCCTGTCTGTCTGGCCCACATGCTGATCAGCAACAGTGGGGTTTTAGGCTCATATTTCCACTGTCTGTGGAATTAGAATTGAGCAGCTTTCATACCCATACTTTCAGAAATTGAATCAGTATTCCTAACACTTTCTAAGATTTTAGTTTTTTAACCTATGAATTTGCTTTGTCTTTGTGAAGAATCTTAATTTTCTACTCATTCAATAGTCATGGAACCTACACTCACTTTGCATCTTCTTTTGTTTAAATAGCTTTATGGAGACACTATTCACCCATTTACAATGTACAATTGAATTAATTTCAGCATATTCACAGAGTTGCGTAACCAACACGATAATCTATTTCAAAACATTTTCATCCCCTAAGAGAAACCTTCTACCTGCTGGGGATCACTCCTCCGCCCCTGACCTTCTACCTGCTGGGGATCAGTCCTCAGCCCCTGACCTTCTACCTGCTGGGGATCACTCCTCAGCCCCTGACCTTCTACCTGCTGGGGATCACTCCTCAGCCCCTGACCTTCTACCTGCTGGGGATCACTCCACCACCCCTGACCTTCTACCTGCTGGAGATCACTCCTCCACCCCTGACCTTCTACCTGCTGGGGATCACTCCTCAACCCCTGACCTTCTACCTGCTGGGGATCACTCCTCCACCCCTGACCTTCTACCTGCTGGGGATCACTCCTCCGCCCCTGACCTTCTACCTGCTGGGGATCACTCCTCAGCCCCTGACCTTCTACCTGCTGGGGATCAGTCCTCAGCCCCTGACCTTCTACCTGCTGGGGATCACTCCTCAGCCCCTGACCTTCTACCTGCTGGGGATCACTCCTCCGCCCCTGACCTTCTACCTGCTGGGGATCACTCCTCAGCCTCTGACCTTCTACCTGCTGGGGATCACTCCTCAGCCCCTGACCTTCTACCTGCTGGGGATCACTCCTCAGCCCCTGACCTTCTACCTGCTGGGGATCACTCCACCACCCCTGACCTTCTACCTGCTGGGGATCACTCCACCACCCCTGACCTTCTACCTGCTGGGGATCACTCCTCAGCCCCTGACCTTCTACCTGCTGGGGATCACTCCTCCACCCCTGACCTTCTACCTGCTGGGGATCACTCCTCAGCCCCTGACCTTCTACCTGCTGGGGATCACTCCTCCACCCCTGACCTTCTACCTGCTGGGGATCACTCCTCAGCCCCTGACCTTCTACCTGCTGGGGATCACTCCTCAGCCCCTGACCTTCTACCTGCTGGGGATCACTCCTCAGCCTCTGACCTTCTACCTGCTGGGGATCACTCCTCAGCCCCTGACCTTCTACCTGCTGGGGATCACTCCTCAGCCCCTGACCTTCTACCTGCTGGGGATCACTCCACCACCCCTGACCTTCTACCTGCTGGGGATCACTCCACCACCCCTGACCTTCTACCTACTGGGGATCACTCCTCAGACCCTGGTACCTGCTGCTCTGCTCTCTGTCTCCATGGGTCTGTCTGCTCTGGAAATGTCATGGCAATGGAATCACACAGGCATGCAGGTTGCCTTCTGCACCTGCCTTCTTCCACTGAGCAAAAGGTTTCAAAGGTGCCTCGATGCCATCATAGACGTGGCTCCTTCCTGCCATTTGTGACTGTATGATGCTCCATGTGTGCGAACAGACTACATTTTATTTCTTGTTTGATAGCTGATAGACATTTGGACTGCCTCCACTTCCCGGCTCTAACACTGCTGTGAACATTAACATACGGGTCTTTGTTCTCATGTCTCTCGGGCGGGGCATATGGTAATTCCATGTTCAATTTTTTCAGGAACGCTTAGACTGTTCTCTAGAGTGGCTGCACCCTGTTCCAATCCCACCCACAGTGCATGCAGGTTCCAGTTCCTCTGCAACCTCTCAGTCCTTGCTATGGTCTGTCTTTTTGATTCCTGTTATCCTGGTGGGTGTGAAGTTGCGTCTTGTCTCTTGGCTGAGATTCTATTCCATTATGGAGGGGGATGATGGCGCTCTTTTGTAATAAACTCGTCAACCAGAACCACCAGACTCCTCTCTTTAAAACATTAGATCTGATTTTTTTCTTTTTGTTTTCACTGAAGGTACGCCCTGCCCCCACCAATTATTTATGTATATGACACAGTTTTACAAAGTATCGGAAGACACTAGTTGGTTTATAGTGCTTCTGTGGTTGGCTTGATTACTTTACAGAACTACCTCAAGGACCTTAAAGGGACAAAGTGTACACAAAACTGTATATAAAATATACTAAGACATTAATTAAACAAATTTAATAATGAATTTTCCCGATCTAAAAATCAAAGAGTGATGTAAAGTTAGAAATAACTAATTTACCATGTTTAAGATCTTACCATTTCTGTAGGTTTTGGAAATTATTTACATTCCAATTTTCTTTTGAAATAAATGCCCTGTATTGAAAATCTGGCAAAATATGTGGAAATTTAATATGGAAACCAGATGATTCAATTTGGACACGGAATCCATAGCCATAAGGACAGTCCCAAACTTCAACAGTTTTATAAAATGCAGCTTTGACACAAATTACTTTACGGAATCAGTAAACCTCGCTGGTATTTCTCATGCTGTTCCCTGTGACCAGCCCTGGGTGTTCTGGGATGTGCCGAGATGTGGCGGCCGCACATTTGCATGTGCAAGGCCCAGGCTACGTCAGAGGCTACATGCTGGAATAGGTTGGGCAGTTTTCCACATACAGCTAAAACATACATTAAAGCTACGATAAACTGCTCCTCTATATTCCCCATCCCAGAAAGAATGAATCCTCATGACTCTGGAGTCCAAATGGAACGGACAAGCTCCCACGGTTTTGTGCTTTGACTGACCTCATCCGGGCTGGAAGCCTGGTAGGTGCGATTCTCATCACTGAAGTCTTGGTCAGCCTCTGCGAACTCAGTCTCCTCAGTAACGCCGGCCCGAGACTCATACACGGGGGTCACGTTGTGACACAGCACGATGGCTTTCACGGCTTCATGGATTCGACTACTGACACTTTTCCTAACTTTGGGAGCTGAAGATTGGGCTTTTCTTAGTGGAGTTGAACCAGTATTGTTTCCACCAGCTTGAGACTGCATCTTTAGAATATGAAACGTCACATAATTAAAGATAGAGCAAAGAGAACTATCTAGTTAACATGGAATTATTAACATATATGATTTTTACAAGCAAAGTAGCTAGAAATAAGTAGCCTGATTTGATTCTGATTATCTCCTATAAAGCACTGATTAATGAGTTATTTTTTTAAGCCTAGTACTATGAAGCACTTCGATATATCCAGGTTGTCAAATACACCAAAATATTCACTATACTACTTAAAAATCTGACAATTTATTTTTACTGTATTCACTTCAACAATGGCACTAATTTGCTATGTCCTTAACTCCTATTTATTCATGACTTCTAAAAGCAGAGTCAATTAAAGAACAAAATGAAATGGTATACTCACAACTGCTTTCAGCTTTCTTTAAATAATGTTGTACAAAGCTAAAAGCAGGACAAAATCTTTAAGAATCTTCCCTTAATACCATAAATTAATCCTGCTCTCAGTAGTCTCTGAGTTTAGACAGTCTAGTTTTGTGGATAATAACAACCAAATACAATCCTAAGTTGCATTCAGAGGAAAAATGGCCCCGTGTCATATCTCAGAATCCTGCTCTCTTAAAGCAAGTCCCCATTTAGGGCTTATGTGTGTGCCTGGCTCTCCTCGGGCTCAGCCATGTTTCAGAGATTTCATCGGCACCACCAAAGCAATAACTTTTTATTATTCACCTCCTACGTGGCGGAGGGTGTCAGAGGACACTCCCCCCAACCCCAACAGGATGTCAAACGTTTCTTCAGTTAACTTCGGAGTAACTCATGACAATCCTCCTTGGAAACCAAGGCTCTCACGCTTGGACTGGGTGAACAGATCCAATGAACTGTGAATCTCCTGCCCATCAAATTACAGTGCTGTCTAATGAAGGGTTTAACTTTCTGCTCAGCTGGTGCTGCCTTTCAGTGAGGACCCAGCCCATCTGCGCCTGCTCACGCTGCTGCGAGACAGCAAACTCAGCTGGCTCCCTCCTTCCAAACTACGTGATGTTTAGTGATGCTTGTACAATTTAATTTCACACAAATTCCATGAAAGATTATGCCCTCTATCACCAAATGCCTCCAGTGGGGAAATACAATCAGGTTATAAAAGATCTGTGTTGCACGGCAGTGGACCTACTAGACTCCTGTCATCTTAGTAATAAAACAGAATACCGATAGAGAATCAGATCAATTTCACATAAGAAGTACTGTCTGTTCAACTAACAGAAGCTTTCAGCAAAAATGATTTTAAAAGTCCTCTTAGGTGGAAGCACAATAAACATTTACTGTGTTTATATAATGATGCTTCATCTTTTCTGCTTTTAATTTTTTCCTAATAACTTATTTGAAGCTATTAAAATTACATTCATAGATAATTTTTTTTTTTTAAAAAGCAGAGCTCATCTGGTACTATTTCAACGCAGAAATAGATTCCTGGGAGAAACTGTATTCCTTCTCCTTTTAAGATTTTTCTTCTATTAATAAATATCCTAGGTTACAAATATTCCGTATCTAAATGAATTACATCCAAAATAATAAAGTGTTTGGCTGTGTACGTATGTTTGTTTGCTTATGTGTGTGGATAAACATTCCATATGCTAAATATATACACATATGAGACTTCTTCCATTTGACAGCATGCCGACAGTAAAGCTTATGCCAGACTGGTAGCAAGTATACAAGAAAGAGAAGGTTTTCAAAAAACTGAATACAATGCTGACCACTGAATGCTACTCTGGAGTTGTCAAGAGTAGAAACGCAGCAATGGGAAAGTGTCATTTAGTCTAGTCTCTGCGAAAATCAAGTTTGAAACAAATTACTGTAAATACAAAAAGTCTCCTAGACTCCACAGCTGACGTCGCCAGGTGGCCTCTGCAAGTCTGGGCAGCAGTGCCATGCAGCGCTGGGAACTGTCACCTCCCAGGGTGGGCTGTGTACACTTTTGAAGGGTGGCCTCTGCAAGTCCGGGGAGCAGTGCCGTGCAGCGCTGGGAACTGTCACACCCCCCAGGGTGAGCTATGTACAATTTTGAACCTGATAGGCCTTAGCTCATTATTATGTGGATCACTATATTCAGAATAAATCAACAAACAGGCAGAAAAAGGGCCTCAGAAGGTGTAAATTTGTGACGCACACTGCAGCCTTGTCTG
This sequence comes from Homo sapiens, assembly GCF_000001405.40. NCBI lineage: Eukaryota > Metazoa > Chordata > Mammalia > Primates > Hominidae > Homo > Homo sapiens. The sequence continues at coordinate 79,304,837 of NC_000018.10, read as the reverse complement.
CTAGTCTCTTAAATTGATTCTCTCAGATCTCCAGGTCTGATCAAACTGAATCAATGACTTCAAATTATGACAGGCACAAAAAAATGCAAATGAATGACAAGGAAACACTCCTCAGGGCCAGGGCTGTGCTCAGTGTGGTGGCTCTGAGGTGCCTACAGCAGGAATGAGGCTGTTAGGATGACTTGGGTCCATGGACAGACTCTATACACAACCCACTGCCTGCAAAATCTCTGGCAAGTGGTACAGCCTCTAGGCTAAATCCTGTTTTAAAAGCAAATACAGGTTGAGTATCCCTGATCCAAAAATCTAAAATTGGAAATGTTCTAAAACTTGAAGCTTTTTGAACGCCATTGATGCTCAAAGGGATGTTCAGATAAGCGATTAGAGGTGTTCAACCAGTAAGGATAATGCAAATATTCCAAATCTAAAAAAATCCAGAATCCAACATATTTCTGGTCCTAAGCATTTTGAATAAGGGATACTCAACCTCTAATTCCTGTTCTCAGAACTTTAGGGAGCTTTGGCCCCAACGAAAGGCAGAGTCCTTATCAATTAGGGGCACATAATACATATTTACAGATGAAAGAATGTGATATTTGAGCTTCATGTCATAATATAATAATAATGAAGAACACCTACAGATGAAACATCACCACCTGGGCACTGATGACAGGTAGGTGAATGACAGATACGAGATTCCCAACACGATGGTGTCTACTTTTATCTACCGAAAAGGCAAAAAAAGAATTTACCTTTAAAAATATGAGAACATTTTATTATAGAGAAAAACAGAACTGTTAGAAAACATATTGATGTAGTATCCTACTGAACATTCTTCAACTACAATGTTTACTGAATAATTTTTTACAAATAACTCACTAGTAAAATGTGATATGAATAAATGACTTCAGCACACTATGCCTTCTACGATTTCACTCATGTACAAATGCTCATCAAAGACGATTTCCTGATTCGTATATTCGAACAGACGACTGAAGTAGCAGGATGTTAAGACCACCAAGAAGCGTGCTAATTTACAGATGGGAACACACGAGGCTCAGCTGGACTCATGGCGCGGGATGTGTGTGGAAGCAGACCCCGTGCAGGAGGAACCCACTTACCTGTGAGTAGGAGTCCCTGACATGGCTCTGGATCTCATCCATCGTGTCGGCGCCATAGGACACGGTGCCCAGGTGCAGCCGCTTAAATATCATTTCATTCTGGGTGAGGGTTCCTAGGATAAAGGGGACAACAGCAAACACATTAATGCAGGAGGCCTGCGGGAACACCCAGCTTTCCTACCATGCAGGCATGCTGCACATTCATGGGCTGAAGCAGCTGGGATGCCCAACTGTATAATACAAAGTAGCGTTAAGATTGTTACTTGCTACTATTTTCATTTTAATAGGAAGAACAAGATATTTTCTCCCTAGCATGTCAAGGTACCTTTATAACATTTTTGTGTGTTTTTTTTTGGAGACTGGGTCTCACTCTGTTGCCCAGGCTGGAGTGCAGTGGCATTATCACAGCTCACTGCAGCCTCCACCTCCTGGGCTCAAGTGATCCACCTGCCTCAGCTTCCCGAATAGCTGGGACTACAGGCGCACGACAACACACCCAGCTAATTTTTTTGTTTTTTGTAGAGGCAGTGACTCCCTACATTGCCCAGCCTGGTCTCAAGCGATCCTTCTGTCTTGGCCTCCTAAAGTGTTCTGATTATAGACGTGAGCCACTGCACACGCAGCCTCTAACAACGTTTAATAATGAGAAGGGCTCTAGTTATATGAAGAAAGTCCGTCATTGCCTTTCAGCTCAGATCTGTTATTTGGAACGAATGCAACTTTTGCCTGCTCTGAAAGAGGCGGACATAAAACTAGAAAACTGAGTCACCACCTTTATAATTACAATATAGAACACTGCCTGAGAAAGACATCAACAAGCCCCAAATTAGGGTGTCCATTAATTTTTTAAAAAAACCTATTTCAAAAAATTAAGTCTTTTTAGCTGAACAGAAATGGATATTCCAGATGTGTTTAATCCTTAGCATGTATGTGTGTCCCTTGGAATGACAGACAGGAGGTCTGTGAAAGATAGGATGGCTTTTCTTTAGTGTTTTCCAAATACTGGGCTATCTGAATGTGCTTCCCTAATGCCTGCTCCTCAAGTACCACAGTCCTCCCTTAGGAGGACTGCCAGAAAAGTTGGGCCATGTATTAGGTGACAAAGAGATCTCATTTAACCTAAAAATACACATATTACATGTGCATATGTTTTATTTATTTGGCTTTATAGAAGCAAAGTAGCACAGGGAAGCTCAAATACCCTCTGGATATGTATGTAGCGTGCTGCGATGTGTGGTGCTTTCACCTTGTCCCCGGGGGTGTGTGCACTTATTTCACAACGTGCTGCCACGCGTGGTGCTCTCACCTTGTCCCCGGGGGTGTGTGCACTTATTTCACAACGTGGTGCCACGCGTGGTGCTTTCACCTTGTCCCCGGGGGGTGTGTGCACTTATTTCACAACGTGCTGCTTTCACCTTGTCCCCGGGGAGGGTGGGGGCAGGGAGGTTTCTGCACTTATTTCACAGCACATCCAAGAAGGGTTATCCACGGATACTGCTGACGTTATAAATCTGAGTATGAACAATGACACAGCCATTCATTGCACAAAATTGCAATTGACTGCAATAAAACCATAAAACCCAATTTTATGGTTGCAAAATATCCATAAAAATATTCACTCATTTTTATGTTCTTTGGCACACATGGTACTGGAATATAACCCAAACTGGAATATAACCCAAACTATTTTCATGTCTATGGTACCCTCTAAGTGCGTGAGGATTAGAGCACAAAGTGAATCAGTTAGGATCAGAACTCAAGAGGTCAGCTGGCTCAGAGCCTTCCATCAGGACACAGCGCTTACTTTCAAAGACAAGGAAAATAGAGCTTACAATTACTATTTTAGAGATTGTTTTGATAAATGCTCTTAGAAGAGTGAATATAATAAAGTTTTAAAAATTCCAAACAGCAGCTAACTATCTACCTGAGATGCTTCTCAGTTCTATAGATTTTGGCTTCCACAAAGTTTTATGAAGCACCTTTAAACTGGCTGTGCTCTGTATACCTTGAAAAGATGTCTCCAAGTTTCATAAATCTAAGTGGAAACAAAATCATCAAAATTACATGAGAGGCAGTTTAAACCTTTTTGTTTTGTCATGCTACTCTTGTTAAATAAGTAGAATTAACATAAAACACTAGGCTATATTAAATAATGCAGTTAGCAACAATTCAGTCTCTGACTACCATCATGAAGTTCTACAAGTGCTTTATACATTTGTGCTTCATACATTTGTTTGTTTGTTTTTTGAGACGGAGTCGTGCAGTGGCACTATCTTGGCTCACTGCAACCTCTGCCTCCTGGGTTCAAGCAATTCTCCTGCCTCAGCCACCCCAGTAGCTGGGATTACAGATGTGCGCCACCACACCCAACTAATTTTTGTATTTTTAGTAGAGCCAGGGTTTCACCATGTTGGCCAGGCTGGTCTGGAACTCCCGACCTCAGGTGATCTGCCCGCCCTGGCCTCCCAAAGTGCTGGGATAACAGGTGTGAGCCACCACCCCTGGCCTATGAGTGCTTTAAATAGCAAAAATGTGAGATGAAAAATGGTAGTTCTATCACTGCCAACAGTTAAAAGATAATGAAACCTTACATTAATTCATATTAGGGTAAGTACCAAGTTTGCCTCTATTATGTGTGCCCAAGTAAGCAGCTCTCTGAAAAATTATTTAACAAATGTGCTAAGTTAAAAACATTCTACTTAGCAGATTGAGATAACAAAGTATTTCCTTTAGACTTTTCTCTCTTAGTGTGAAGCATGATGATTTAGGGTGGGGAATCGTAATGAGGCATAAATCCTATGCAGTTTGTAAACAGGACTATGATTAATGCCACTTTTTTAACCCAACTTTTTTATTATGAACAATTTCATATGTAAAGTTAAAAGAATATTATAATGAACACCTGTATAGCTCCTACCAAGAGCGAACAATTACTTCTTTAGGATTTTAAATGACTGTGCAAGTATGCAAAGAACCCTAAAGAAAGAAATAGCATCTCATTTTCCATCCAGTCCTTGCTCAGTATGTTTGCTGGGCGGCTGTGACAGGCCCTGGGTGTGGAGTCAGCTGCAAGTGCAGAGCTCCCTCTGGGATGTGAGGTGCTGTTGTCCACGGCCCCGCAGCCCCGGGCTCAAGTCTCAGTGTCCTCACAAAGGGGTTTGTGTCCTCACCGCAACCCACATGCGACCCACAGCCCAGCCTCGCCTCTCCCTCAACAGCCTGCACCTCCCTGTCCCTCAGCACCTGCTGAGACATCTGCAAGGGGCCTGTCTGGCCCCGCTGGCCTCTCCCTATGGATACCTTAACCGAGAAGGGAAAGACCTCCCACTCAGCCTCCTCACTTTGCAAGCACTGCAGGGTGGTCCAAGGATGACACGAGGGCACCCAGGTGACATGCCTGACCCAGTCAGTCCTAAATAAACGAGAGCTACTCTTCCACAGCCATCATCACCACCACCAACCTTTCCTCACTTTCTGGATTCAACTACCTCCCAAACGCTCTCAAACCTCTCAACCCCACTTCAGACATGGAGTGCCCCCCTCCTGAAGCTCCTTCGCTCTGCCCTCTTACCACGCGTCCTGACTGCAGCCTCTTCCGTGGCTTCCTGAGCTCAGCTCCAACATTCTTTAACCTACCTTCCCCAGCAGTGCTATTTCCGAAGACAAACACCTCCTCATTCTAGTACGTTGCTTTTAGTGACCATCCGTGCCTCGCCACTGCTTACCAATCAAAGCATCCACTCCTTAGATGGAGACAAGGCTCTGCACAGCCCGGCCTACGGCTGCTCCTCGTGGCACAGCACAGGGCTCCGGAGAGCTGCCCATCTGCAGCAGGAGCTACAGTTCTCTAAACAGACAGTGACTCCCACATTCCCACTGAGAATTTGTGTATTCATTTGGCAAAAACTCATGAAAATGCATCACTACTCATTGAGCTTGGGAGTCCAAATCCTGCTGTAACCTGCAGGCTGCAAAACTTCATAGAGTGGATTTAAGCTCTCCAAGCCTCAGTTTATTCACCTGTAAAATACGGAATACATCTCATATGTTGCATGGATAAAAATGAATAAGACAATGCACAAAGTGCCCCAAACACAAGGAGGGTGAGGATTCCTTTCCTAAAGAATCCCACAGCATAACAGGGAGAGAGGCTGCAAGAGATCATGCTACTGAGAGGCACTAATGCAGGGTCCATGTGGTGCAGTCACAGGAGACTGCAGAGAGGGGGCAGGGACTGCTCCCAGGAGTGGTGGCATCTGACCTGTGACTTGAAGCATATGAATTTACTAGTGGTTTCCACAAGAGAAGCGCTCCAGGAAGAGGGAACTGTATGTGGCTCGCACATGGGTCTGGGAGCAAAGACAAATGCCTGTGAATGGAAGAGACACACACAAGAGAAGGGCTGGAGAGGGAGGAGGGGGTGAGGAGCTCTCTAGGTCCCATCAAGAGAGCACAGTGAAGCAGAGAGCCTCCTGTCCACCAAGAGGGCATGCAGAGCCAGGCTCAGGAGTCCCGGCTTCATTCTGGATGGGCCCTGTCCAGGTAACAGAGTTAACTGAGGCATTATTCTAAGGACAGAGTGGTGGGGGTCAAATGTGGGGGAAAGAACTGGGATCAAGGTCTACGTGAAGGATGATGTGGCAGCAGGCATCAAGACAGAAAGGAAGAGGCAAATGCATGAAATCTTCAGAAGTCTAGAAAAGAGCATCAACTGGACTTGGGAACTGAATGTGGAGGCTCCGGATCCAAGACCTCGAAGAGCAGCTCAGGCTGACTGCCTTGCTCAGGGAGGCTGGCCCTCAACAAGAAACAGGAATTAAGAAAGTAGACAGCTTTGGGAGAAGGGGAGAACACACAGATGGTGAGTCTGAAGTGGCTATGGGACAGCCACTCTGCCTCCTGAGAAGGAGGAACATCTTTCCTCATACTGATGTTCTGTTCCCATATCCTCTTTGGTGCAAGGCCAACTTCTAGGTTCTGTATCCATTGAAAAATCCCCCAATACCACACAGTCTTGATGACTGCAGCTTATTTAAGTCTTGAAATCTGGTAGTGAGTCCTTCAACTTTCTTCTTTGTCAAAGTCACTTCAGCTATCCTGCTCCTTTGCCTTAAAAATAAATTTAGAAATAATCTTACCTACAAAACAAATCTTGACAGAAACTGAATTAAACTGAATATCGAAAAGAGAAGTGACATTTTTAGTGTGTGGAGACTTGAGGTCCATGAGCAAAATCACTGTGTTTATTTCGGTCTATTTTGGTTTCTTTCATGAGTGTGACGTAGTTTGCAGCCCACAAGGCCCACTCATTTTATATTAGATTCACGGCTAAGTACCGCGCTTTTTTCAAGGAATTATAAACGGCACCGTACTTTTCATCTCAGCTGGCACATATTCACTGCAAGTGTAGATACACCATTGGTTTCTGCATGTGGACAGTCTACCCTGTGACCCTGCTGAACTCACTGGCTCACAGAATTTTTTGTACATTCCTTGGATTTTCTAGGTAGATAATTATTCCATCTGCAGACAGGGACAATTTTCTTTCTTTAATTTTAACTCGATTTCTTCCTTTCTGATATCCATACCTTGCATTCCCCTTTCTTACCGTACTGCACTGTCTGGAATGCTGGCACTGTTGGACAAGCACCCTCGCTTCCTTCCTGACCTAGGGAAAGCGTGCGTCTCCATCACACAGAGTGAGGCCTCAGCCTCAGCTCTTTAAGATTCTCTTCAGCAACCTGAGGATGTTCCCCTCTAATCCTTGTTTTCCGAGTTTTCTTCTTAAAGCATGAATGAGGGCTACATTTGTCATATGCTTTTCTGCATCCCTTCCTGCTCTTTATACCCAGGGCTGTTCTGTTAAGGTCATTGCAGTGTTTCCTTCCTAATTACAGATCAGGCCAGCATTAGATACAATTATTACACGACAGTGTAGAGTCTTATCAAGGCGAAACATGAAATCCTAAGTCCCTGAGTAGCTGTTTTATCTCCTTAAACTAAACATAATATAATGTATTTGAAAGTGCAACAAACTTCTCTATTAAGAAGAGAATTTTTGATCTGTAAAGTACAAACCCCTACATCTAAATATAGTAAAATTAAGCTACAGGACAAACTACAGTCCTAATGGACACCCACATAGACAGTCATGGAATTCCACATCCCATTTGTCTCACTAAAAAGTAGATATATTACCAAAAATACCCACAATATATAAAATGTGTATTTAATATTTACTGAGTGCCTCATAACGCGATGAGAACGGCGGGCCGCGTCTTGCTAGCCCCTGTGGTGTCTGGGTCGTCTGTGTCTCCTCTCTGGGTCATCTGTCTTCTCTCTGGGTCGTCTGTGTCTCCTCTCTGGCTGGGTCATCTCTGTCTCCTCTCTGGGTCATCTCTCTTTCTCCTCTCTGGGTCGTCTGTGTCTCCTCTCTGGGTCATCTCTCTGTCTTCTCTCTGGGTCGTCTGCGTCTCCTCTCTGGGTCATCTCTCTGTCTTCTCTCTGGGTCGTCTGTGTCTCCTCTCTGGGTCATCTCTCTTTGTCCTCTCTGGGTCGTCTCTCTGTCTCCTCTCTGGGTCGTCTGTCTCCTCTCTGGGTCGTCTGTGTCTTCTCTCTGGGTCGTCTGTGTCTCCTCTCTGGGTCATCTCTCTGTCTTCTCTCTGGGTCATCTCTCTGTCTTCTCTCTGGGTCGTCTCTGTCTTCTCTCTGGGTCGTCTGTGTCTTCTCTCTGGGTCATCTCTCTGTCTCCTCTCTGGGTCATCTCTCTTTCTCCTCTCTGGGTCATCTCTCTGTCTTCTCTCTGGGTCATCTCTGTCTTCTCTGTGGGTCATCCCTGTCTTCTCTCTGGGTCTTTAGCTGCTGAGCGTGCATCTCCCCTACTGCAGTGGAATCTCCAGGAAGGCAGTGTCTGTATTATCCCAACTCTATCCCCAGAACCTGACTCCTAAATAGCAGCCAAAAAAGTTGCTGATTTAAATTTTTAAAAAAGAATAATGATAACGAGCCTAATTTATGAAACAAGGGTGGTGGAAGGTATATAGAAGACTGCTGTAAACAGAAATCAAACACTTGCACTACTGTTTCTGCCCTGGATGAAAATATTTTCTGTGTGGAATCCAAAGTTGGAAATATTATATAAAAATCCGGAAGATACCTTCTATATTTAGTTCTTTCCTGTCCTTAAAAATACTTGAGATTTATTTGAAAAATCTGTTTTTTACCTCGTTATTGACGTTGCAAAGTGCAGCTAGCGTAGGATTCTCACCACAGGTTTGGCAACATGCAGATAAATTTAAAGCCACACAAGATCTTTAGGAAAAAACCACACAATTTACAGTAATTGATTTTTGAAACTATGTGTTATTAAGTTATTAATTCCTGTCTCACTCCTTCTGGGCTGCAGTAACATGGTGGCTCACACCTGTCATTCCAGCACTTTGGGAGACCAAGATAGGAAGATGGCTTGGGCCTAGGAGTTCAAGACCAGCCTGAGCAACACGGTGAGACTCGATCTCTATCACAAATACAAAAACTAGCTGGGCATGGCAGCACACACCTGCAGTCCCAGCTACTAGGGAGGCTGAGGCAGGAAGATGGACTGCGCTCAGGAGTTTGAGGCTGCAGTGAGCTGTGATCACGACACTGCACTCCAGCCTGAGTCACAGAGCAAGACCTTGTCTCAAACCAGCCCAGGTGACAGAGCAAGACCCTGTCTCAAAAAATAAAAATTAAAATTAAAAAATACCATAAACCAAGTGGTTTATAAACAACAAACATTTACTTCTCATAGCTCTGGCGGCTGGGAAATGCAAGATGAGGCACCAGGAGATTTGGTGTCTGATGAGGGCCCTCATCATAGTGGAGCCTTCTTGCAGTGTCCTCAGGGCTGGGAGAGGGAATCTGCCTCCCTAGGACCTTGCTTTTAAGGGAACCAATCCCATTCATGGGGGCTCTGCCCCATGACCCAGTCACCTCTCCTAATTAGTACTATGCCATCATCTGGGACTCAGTTTCAACACAGGGATTTTAGAGAGAGATGAACATTCAGGCCACATGATACCTGAGTGTAACGTATCTGCTGTCAGAAACAACAGGGAATATCACTGCATTGTGAATAAAGCTATTCTAATGACACATATAAAAATTTAAAAAGAAAATGGGAGGAGAGGTTTGGCAAATGTGGAATTTGCCATGTGTGAAAATTATTCTTTAAACACCATGTACATTCTGCCCTCAGACATAATACCCCCTTTCACTTATACAGTTGGCCAAAAAGCAATGAGAAAAATTGTAGACAGTAAAAGATTCAAGTTTTCTCGATATGAAACTTTATAATAGGTTTTAAATAACACAGTTTTCTTAGAGGAAATCAATGAGTAAGATGGTTATAAACATAATTACGTGCCAATTTCACTTTGCTAGACCAATGTATTTCTGATGCTTTAGTAGGGCAGTTGATTTGAACAGTGAAATGTTGATTTTGGGTGTCTAATAGTCAAAATTTCCACTTTCCTGGTAATAATACCATTTCAACATGCGGAATACACACTAGAAATCCCTCATGGTATATGGGGCATCAACCTTGCTGTGTGTGTGTGTGTGTCTGTGTCTGTGTATGTGTGTGCTTGCATTCATGGATGCACGCACACGTACCTATAGCTGGAATAAAACCAAAACACACAGAAAATGTCATTTTTGTATGTAAATTTGAAAGATATTAAATGCAAGGAACTGAAATCCAGGAACGTATGTTCTTTTCACCCCTTCTACATTTTTAAAAGGAAATGTTAAATTACCTCAAGAAGACAGATAGTCTCCTGAAAGCCCTGTGGCCATCGCTCCTTTTTGGCAACATGGACCTAGGGCAGCTCTTTCATCTGAGCCCTCACTTCACTCCTCTTGGCGCTGCTGAAACTAATCTGAGCCATATCATTTCAACCATGGGCATGTCAGTATCATTTGTGAAAGACACTTTAAACAGAACCGAAATATTAGCACACCAGACAGCCACAATAACTCCTCCATGTTAAACAGAAGTCAGGGTTCTAATTTCCAGGTGTCTCGTGTGTCATAGTTTTTTACACTGCTTGTCTGAAGTATGGATCCAGGAAAGGTCTCTTGAGCCTCTTTTACTCTACAGCTTTCTCCTCCATCTCTTTCTTCCTTGAAATTGATTTGTTAAAGAACCTGGACTGACGGTTTCAGTTCCCACAATCTGTACTTGGCCACTGGCCGTTTCTCCTGTGCCTGTGGGCCCTGTGTTTCCTGTGAGCCACGGCTGGGCAAGGCTGGCGAGGCAAGGTTCCGTGGAGACTGCTGCAGCGCAGGGAGCGTCCTTCCATCAGGAAGCAGGGTGTCTGGCCGCCTCCTCTGATGTAAACAGCCACCCACAATCGATTCCTAGGCCCACGAATTCATCATGGGTTGAAAGTGGCATATAGTTGAGGTACTTATCATTGACTTTGGGACATCTTTTTCTGGAGAAGAGAACTCTGGCATTTCTAAATGCAAAAAATCCACATGGACAACAGATGTTTTCCAAAAACAAAGTTACATCATTTATAATCACTCCATTCACAGACTCTTTCTAGACAGTAAATCAGGGATTTTAAAGCACTATTTTAATCCAGTGCTTTAGTTAGATGTCCTTTCTCAGCTTGGTGGTAGTATTTCAAGTTCTGAGATTCCCAACTTCAGCTATGCTATTATACTTTGCTTCTTACTGCTGCTTGGAGAAAACTGAGAGGAATTCTACATGTACACAAAGACCCCTTGAAAATACTGGAGACCAGATAGCTGTCACAGAAACATGCAAGGCGATGCTAAAATACTGAATATAATATCTGCGCATTTATGCATTTAGTTGAAAATAATTTAAAATATAACTGAAACTTAGGTTTGAACTATTTTTCCTTTTGAGTTATGTTTATAAAGCTTTATATCTCAGTAGATACCAAAAGTCTTATTCAGTTACTTAATTGGAGCCAGGGAGAATGAAATGGAGAACTGTCTTAGTCCATTTTCTGTTGCTATAACCAAATACCTGAGACTGGGTAATTAATTTTAAAAAGGAATTTATTGCTTACAGTTCTGGAGGCTGGAAAGTCCGAGGCTGAGGTGCTGCATCTGGTCAGGGCCTTTCTGCTGGTGGGGACTCTCTGCAGAGTCCTGAGGCACTGCAGGCCGCCCCATGATGGGAGGAGGCTCAAGAGGGCCAAAGTGGCTTTTCTAACAGACCCACTCTTGTGACAACTAACACTCCATGAAAATCCACTGATCCATTCACCCATTAATCCATGAGTAGATTCATTCATTCATGAGAGCAGATCTCTCATGACCCACTTGCCTCTTAACGGCCCCACCTCTTAATAGTGTCACACTGGGGATGACATTTCAATAAGAGTTTTTGAGGGGGCAAACATTCAAACTGTATAACAAATTTAGAATACTTTCTCAAAGCTGAGTAATTTAAAAATACTATAATTTTAGTGTTTGTATTTAGGTCTATGATCCATTTTGAGTTAGCTTTTAGGTACAAGTGGGATAAGTATCCAACTTCATTTTTTGCATGGGATATCTAGTTGCCCAGCACCATTTGTTGAAAACACTGTTCTTTCTCCATAGCATTATCTTGGCATCCTTGTTGAAAACCCAATGACCGTAAGTGTTTGGATTTATTTATGGCCTCTCACTTCTAGTCCATCAATCTATGTGTCTGTCCTTATGCCCGCACCACATACCACATTGTCTTGATTACTGTAGCTTTGTATTAGGTTTTGAAACCAGGAGCTGCTGCCAGGTGTAATAGCTCATGCCTGTAATCCCAGCATTTTGGGTGCTGAGGCACGAGGATCACTTAAGCCCAGGAGATCAAGGTTTCAGTGACCCACAATTGTGCCACTGCACTCCAGCCTGGGTGACAGAGCAAGACCCTGTTTCAAAAACAAAACAAAACAAAACAAAACAAACCCCTAACCTCACATCTTTCACCCACCCCCCACTCTGCAGCCCACATTCCTCGGATGCATGTCTTTTTTTTTTTTTTAAAGAAGAAATCACGAGTTGCAAGTCCTCTAACTTTGTTTGTTTTTCAAGATTGTTGTAGCCATGCTGAATCCCTAGTATCTCCATGTGAATTTCAGAATCAGCTTGCCAATTTATGCAAAGGTAGCTGGGATTTTAGTAGGTATTACACAGAACCTATAGATAAAAGAAGCTAGAATTGTTGCCGTCTTAACACAATGAAATATTTTTTGATGCACTGTAAATACAATTGTTTTCTTAATTCTATCTCTGGATGGTTCGTTGTTAGCATACAGAAATACAATTTCATTCTTGTGTGTTGATCTTGCGTCCTACAATCTTACCAAACCCCTTTAATTAATAGAGGGCTGGGTGACTCCTGAGGATTTCCTACGGACATGACCATGTCACACATACAGAGAGAGTTTTGCTCTCCTTTACAATGTGGACGCCACCTTCTTGCTCTTGCCTAACTGCATTGGCTAGAACCCTGAATACTCACAGCAGCATTAGTCGTAGTAGGCAAAAAGTAGAAACAACCCATGTCCATCACCTTATGAATGGATAAATAAAGTGTGGTGTATCCACACGATGGAATATTATTTGGCAATAAACAGAAATGAGGTACTGATATACACTACAATACGAATGAACCAGTAAAAGAGTATATGCCAGTGAAGGAGGCCAGCAGGGACTGCATAGGTCTGACTCATTTACGTGGAACGCCCAGGACAGGCAAGTCCTCAGAGACAGAAAGTAACCAGGGGCTGCCTGGGGCACGGGCGATGGAAGGGGAGGATGGGGAGTGCCAAGGTTGCTTTTTAGGGTGATGAGAATGTTTTAAAGTTAGATTGTGGTGAGAGTGGAATAAGAGAGCGATGTATCCTGACAGTTGACCATTTGAATTAAACAAATGCGTGGTATCTTCTAAAATGTTTCCGTTGCTAATCAATCATGTTATCAGTAGCTTAAAACTGACATTCAAATAAATGACTAACACTTCTCATCAACGAATGATAAAGTTTTTGGGTTTGTTATTCTGTCCATGTGAATAAATGCAATCACACCTTGTTGGGTTAAAGAAACTGCAATACTTATGCAGACATTCCTTCAGGTGAGTGGCACACGTACTTTCTTCACATATGAAGATGAAGCCCAAAAATATTTTTTAAATCTCGATGATTTTTTAATTTCATAACTTGCTAATTTCAGACTTTCCTTCACCTCTTATGCAGTAGTAGATAATGTAGAGTCTGTAATACAAAATTATTTTTCAAATCTTACCTCAAATGCTCTCCATGATTTCAAACACTGATGATTTCTACAACTTTTGTCATTTTAATACAACAGAAATTAATATGCCCCCAAATTGGAAGCTTTGGAAAAGGGAGGAATGAATGCAGCCAGAGAGTAAGAGTGCCGTCACGTCAAAGAGATTCACAGCAGACTCGGCTATGGTATGTAGCTATATAGACAGAAAATGTCTTTTGACAAAAGGTTTCTGATTTCTTAAAAAAAAAAAGCTGCAGCTCTTTAATGAAAAAGAGTTTTTTGGGACTATAATGAACAAAGCAGGCAAAGAGGAAATTAATTTCTAGGGAAAAAGTCCTGCAGGCATCATTCTCAGAGTGGCAACAGATGTGATCCATGACTGAGCCGAGTAGACAGTTTCTGAGACACAGCTGCAGAGGTTTCGGACCACATATTCCTGAATTGTGAATTGGCCTCACCCCTAAACTCTACCACACCATCATACAAAAGGGAGCCAGTGATTTTAATATATAAAGAAAGGTAACACTGAGATATGCCACGCACCTAGAGCAATAAACTTTCTTGTGAAGATTCTAGTTAAACAAAGTAAGACACATACATAATCAGCGGATGTATCAAAACACAAACTTACTTAGACCTTACAAGAAATGGAAGGGGGGCAGCCAAGACAGCCGAATAGGAACAGCTCCAGTCTACAGCTCCCAGCGTGAGCAAGGCAGAAGATGGGTGATTTCTGCATTTCCATCTGAGGTACCGGGTTCATCTCACTAGGGAGTGCCAGACAGTGGGCCCAGGACAGTGGGTGCAGCGCATGTTGCGCGAGCCGAAGCAGGGCGAGGCATTGCCTCACTCGGGAAGAGCAAGGGTCAGGGAGTTCCCTTTCCTAGTCAAAGAAAGGGGTGACAGACAGCACCTGGAAAATCGGGTCACTCCCACCCGAATACTGCACTTTTCTGACGGGCTTAAAAAAGGGCGCACCATGAGATTATATCCCGCACCTGGCTCGGAGGGTCCTACCCCACAGAGTCTCGCTGATTGCTAGCACAGCAGTCTGAGATCAAACTGCAAGGCGGCAGCAAGGCTGGGGGAGGGGCGCCCGCCATTGCCCAGGCTTGCTTAGGTAAACAAAGCAGCCAGGAAGCTCCAACTGGGTGGAGCCCACCACAGCTCAAGGAGGCCTGCCTGCCTCTGTAGGCTCCACCTCTGGGGGCAGGACACAGACAAACAAAAAGACAGCAGTAACCTCTGCAGACTTAAATGTCCCTGTCTGACAGCTTTGAAGAGAGCAGTGGTTCTCCCAGCACGCAGCTGGAGATCTGAGAACGGGCAGACTGCCTCCTCAAGTGGGTCCCTGACCCCTGACCCCCGAGCAGCCTAACTGGGAGGCACCCCCCAAGCAGGGGCAGACTGACACCTCACACAGCCGGGTACTCCTCTGAGACAAAACTTCCAGAGGAACGATCAGACAGCAGCATTCGCGATTCACGAAAATCCGCTATTCTGCACCCACTGCTGCTAATACCCAGACAAACAGGGTCTGGAGTGGACCTCCAGCAAGCTCCAACAGACCTGCAGCTGAGGGTCCTGTCTGTCAGAAGGAAAACTAACAAACAGAAAGGACATCCACACCAAAAACTAATCTGTACATCACCATCATCAAAGACCAAAAGTAGACAAAACCACAAAGATGGGGAAAAAACAGAGCAGAAAAACTGCAAACTCTAAAAAGCAGAGCGCCTCTCCTCCTCCAAAGGAACACAGTTCCGCACCAGCAACAGAACAAAGCTGGACGGAGAATGACTTTGACGAGTTGAGAGAAGGCTTCAGACGATCAAACTACTCTGAGCTACAGGAGGAAATTCGAACCAAAGGCAAAGAAGTTAAAAATTTTGAAAAAAATTTAGACGAATGTATAACTAGAATAACCAATACAGAGAAGTGCTTAAAGGAGCTGATGGAGCTGAAAGCCAAGTCTCGAGAACTACATGAAGAATGCAGAAGCCTCAGGAGCCGATGTGATCAACTGGAAGAAAGGGTATCAGTGATGGAAGATGAAATGAATGAAATGAAGTGAGAAGGGAAGTTTAGAGAAAAAAGAATAAAAAGAAATGAACAAAGCCTCCAAGAAACATGAGACTGTGTGAAAAGACCAAATCTCCGTCTGATTGGCGTACCTGAAAGTGACGGGGAGAATGGAACCAAGTTGGAAAACATTCTGCAGGATATTATCCAGGAGAACCTCCCCAATCTAGCAAGGCAGGCCAACATTCAGATTCAGGAAATACAGAGAACTCCACAAAGATACTCCTCGAGAAGAGCAACTCCAAGACACATAATTGTCAGATTCACCAAAGTTGAAATGAAGGAAAAAATGTTAAGGGCAGCCAGAGAGAAAGGTCGGGTTACCCTCAAAGGGAAGCCCATCAGACTAACAGTGGATCTCTCGGCAGAAACTCTACAAGCCAGAAGAGAGTAGGGGCCAATATTCAACATGCTTAAAGAAAAGAATTTTCAACCGAGAATTTCATATCCAGCCAAACTAAGCTTCGTAAGTGAAGGAGAAATAAAATACTTTACAGACAAGCAAATGCTGAGAGATTTTGTCACCACCAGGCCTGCCCTAAAAGAGCTCCTGAAGGATGCACTAAACATGGAAAGGAACAACTGGTACCAGCCGCTGCAAAATCATGCCAAATTGTAAAGACCATCAAGTCTACGAAGAAACTGCATCAACTAACGAGCAAAATAACCAGCTAACATCATAATAACAGGATCAAATTCACACATAACAATATTAACTTTAAATGTAAATGGACTAAATGCTCCAATTAAAAGACACAGACTGGCAAATTGGATAAAGAGTCAAGACCCATCAGTGTGCTGTATTCAGGAAACCCATCTCACGTGCAGAGACAGACATAGGCTCAAAATAAAAGGATGGAGGAAGATCTACCAAGCAAATGGAAAACAAAAAAAAGGCAGGGGTTGCAATCCCAGTCTCTGATAAAACAGACTTTAAACCAACGAAGATCAAAAGAGACAAGGCCATTACATAATGGTAAAGGGATCAAGTCAACAAGAAGAGCTAACTATCCTAAATATATATGCACCCAATACAGGAGCACCCAGATTCATAAAGCAAGTCCTGAGTGACCTACAAAGAGACTTAGACTCCCACACAATAATAATGGGAGACTTTAACACCCCACTGTCAACATTAGACAGATCAACGAGACAGAAAGTTAACAAGGATACCCAGGAATTGAACTCAGCTCTGCACCAAGCGGACCTAATAGACATCTACAGAACTCTCCACCCCAAATCAACAGAATATACATATTTTTCAGCACCACACCACACCTATTCCAAAATTGACCACATAGTTGGAAGTAAAGCTCTCCTCAGCAAATGTAAAAGAACAGAAATTATAACAAACTGTCTCTCAGACCACAATGCAATCAAACTAGAACTCAGGATTAAGAAACTCACTCAAAACCGCTCAACTACATGGAAACTGAACAACCTGCTCCTGAATGACTACTGGGTACATAACGAAATGAAGGCAGAAATAAAGATGTTCTTTGAAACCAACGAGAACAAAGACACAACATACCAGAATCTCTGGGACACATTCAAAGCAGTGTGTAGAGGGAAATCTATAGCACTAAATGCCCACAAGAGAAAGCAGGAAAGATCCTAAAGTGACACCCTAACATCACAATTAAAAGAACTAGAAAAGCAAGAGCAAACACATTCAAAAGCTAGCAGAAGGCAAGAAATAACTAAAATCAGAGCAGAACTGAAGGAAATAGAGACACAAAAAACCCTTCAAAAAATTAATGAATCCAGGAGCTGGTTTTTTGAAAGGATCAACAAAATTGATAGACCGCTAGCAAGACTAATAAAGAAGAAAAGAGAGAAGAATCAAATAGACGCAATAAAAAATGATAGAGGATATCACCACCGATCTCACAGAAATACAAACTACCATCAGAGAATACTACAAACACCTCTACGCAAATAAACTAGAAAATCTAGAAGAAATGGATAAATTCCTCAACACATACACCCTCCTAAGACTAAACCAGGAAGAAGTTGAATCTCTGAATAGACCAATAACAGGCTCTGAAATTGTGGCAATAATCAATAGCTTACCAACCAAAAAGAGTCCAAGACCAGATGGATTCACAGCCAAATTCTACCAGAGGTACAAGGAGGAACTGGTATCATTCCTTCTGAAACTATTCCAATCAATAGAAAATGAGGGAATCCTCCCTAACTCATTTTATGAGGCCAGCATCATCCTGATACCAAAGCCCGGCAGAGACACAACCAAAAAAGAGAATTTTAGACCAGTATCCTTGATGAACACTGATGCAAGCATCCTCAATAAAATACTGGCAAACCGAATCCAGCAGCACATCAAAAAGCTTATCCACCATGATCAAGTGGGCTTTACCCCTGGGATGCAAGGCTGGTTCAATATACGCAAATCAATAAATGTAATCCAGCATATAAACAGAACCAAAGACAAAAACCACATGATTATCTCAATAGATGCAGAAATGAATTTGATAAAATTCAACAACCCTTCATGCTAAAAACTCTCAATAAATTAGGTATTGATGGGACGTATCTCAAAATAATAAGAGCTATCTATGACAAACCCACAGCCAATATCATACTGAATGGGCCAAAACTGGAAGCATTCCCTTTGAAAACTGGCACAAGACAGGGATGCCCTCTCTCACCACTCCTATTCAACATAGTGTTGGAAGTTCTGGCCAGGGCAATTAGGCAGGAGAAGGAAATAAAGGGTATTCAATTAGGGAAAGAGGAAGTCAAACTGTCCCTGTTTGCAGATGACATGATTGTATATCTAGAAAACCCCATCGTCTCAGCCCAAAATCTCCTTAAACTGATAAGCAACTTCAGCAAAGTCTCAGGATACAAAATCAATGTACAAAAATCACAAGCATTCTTATACACCAATAACAGACAAACAGAGAGCCAAATCATGAGTGAACTCCCATTCACAATTGCTTCAAAGAGAATAAAATACCTAGGAATCCAACTTACAAGGGACGTGAAGGACTTCTTCAAGGAGAACTACAAACCACTGCTCAATGAAATAAAAGAGGATACAAACAAATGGAAGAACATTCCATGCTCATGGGTAGGAAGAATCAATATCATGAAAATGGCCGTACTGCCCAAGGTAATTTATAGATTCAATGCCATCCCCATCAAGCTACCAATGACTTTCTTCACAGAATTGGAAAAAACTACTTTAAAGTTCATATGGAACCAAAAAAGAGCCCGCATCGCCAAGTCAATCCTAAGCCAAAAGAACAAAGCTGGAGGCATCATGCTACCTGACTTCAAACTACACTACAAGGCTACAGTAACCAAAACAGCATGGTACTGGTACCAAAACAGAGATATAGATCAATGGAACATAACAGAGCCCTCAGAAATAATGCCGCATATCTACAACTATCTGATCTTTGACAAACCTGAGAAAAACAAGCAATGGGGAAAGGATTCCCTATTTAATAAATGGTGCTGGGAAAACTGGCTAGCCACATGTAGAAAGCTGAAACTGGATCCCTTTCTTACACCTTATACAAAAATTAATTCAAGATGGATTAAAGACTTAAACGTTAGACCTAAAACCATAAAAACTCTAGAAGAGAACCTAGGCATTACCATTCAGGGCATAGGCGTGGGCAAGGACTTCATGTCTAAAACACCAAAAGCAATGGCAACAAAAGCCAAAATTGACAAATGGGATCTAATTAAACTAAAGAGCTTCTGCAGAGCAAAAGAAACTACCATCAGAGTGAACAGGCAACCTACAAAATGGGAGAAAATTTTCACAACCTACTCATCTGACAAAGGGCTAATATCCAGAATCTACAATGAACTCAAATAAATTTACAAGAAAAAAACAACCCCATCAACAAGTGGGCGAAGGACATGAACAGGCACTTCTCAAAAGAAGACATTTATGCAGCCAAGAGACACATGAAAAAATGCTCATCATCACTGGTCATCAGAGAAATGCAAATCAAAACCACAATGAGATACCATCTCACACCAGTTAGAATGGCAATCATTAGAAAGTCAGGAAACAACAGGTGCTGGAGAGGATGTGGAGAAATAGGAACACTTTTACACTGTTGGTGGGACTGTAAACTAGTTCAACCATTGTGGAAGTCAGTGTGGTGATTCCTCAGGGATCTAGAACTAGAAATACCATTTGACCCAGCCATCCCATTACTGGGTATATACCCAAAGGACTATAAATCATGCTGCTATAAAGACACATGCACACGTATGTTTATTGCGGCATTATTCACAATAGCAAAGACTTGGAACCAACCCAAATGTCCAACAATGATAGACTGGATTAAGAAAATGTGGCACATATACAGCATGGAATACTATGCAGCCAGAAAAAATGATGAGTTCATGTCCTTTGTAGGGACATGGATGAAATTGGAAATCATCATTCTCAATAAACTATCGCAAGAACAAAAAACCAAACACTGCATATTCTCACTCATAGGTGGGAACTGAACAATGAGAACACACGGACACGGGAAGGGGAACATCACACTCTGGGGACTGTTGTGGGGTGGGGTGGGGGGGAGGGATAGCATTAGGAGATATATCTAAAGCTAAATAATGAGTTAATGGGTGCAGCACACAGCATGGCACATGTATACATATGTAACTAACCTGCACATTGTGCACATGTACCCTAAAACTTAAAGTATAATAATAATAAAAAAATTAAAAAAAATGAAATGGAAACAAAACTTAAGTGATAAGACTAATTTGCCAATCTTTAAAGTATGCTTTGAATTTTGAAAATATTTGACACTTTTTAAAAGTGAAGCCAAATATATTCAAAGTCAATGACACTGTTTAAAGTGAAGTCAAATATTATATTCAAAGTTAAATACAGTCTCTGCAAATCAGGCTTTCTCTAAACTGCGATTCTCAGGACGGTATGCATCAGTTAATTATCTGCATGTGTTAATATCTCAACTGGCCCAAACACCCCCAAAATGTTAATTACAGCACTCATATCCAAGGACACACATTAGTAAAAACAGAACCAGTAAGGCTACTCATATTTGCTGTAACTGAATACCCGGTTATTAGCATCATGCATAAGAGACTTGGTTTAAAAAACATTTCCAAGTCTTACCTGTGAGATTTGCTTGCCTCGTATGCACTCACTAGCACACACGTCATGCTTGCCTGCCCTTACAAACTGGGAAAACAGCTTTCCCCTTCATGATGATGCCATCTTGTGAAACTTATATGTGATTCAATTCTGAACAACATGGCATTTTGGGTAATGGATGCTATAATTAAAATGTGAGTCCTAAAAAACCTGTTGTTTTAGTGGGTGTTTTTAGTAACGGCTTTGTTCTACATGAAGATAAAACCTCCCTAACAAAGGAATTAATGTATTGCTTTAATAGGCTGCACCCTGAGTTAAGTTTTAAAATTTATGAGTTCTCTGCAGCATTGTTCTTTAAACAATGGCACTGTCAAATGCAACCAGTGAGAAGATTAAAGTTCTCCCAGCAGATTAAGTACAAATTGGCTGTCCTCCTGTTTCAGCATCATTTGTTCATTTATCAGCCGGCGTCGAGTATTTCTGGTCAGTGTCAATATGCTCTGCATCCTTGCAGTTCACAGATGTCTACGCTTGTCGAATGAATTGCTTTATGTTTCATGCACTGGTGGCCACAGATGTGTCACTATAGCAACATCATTAATTTCAGATCTTACCGGAAATGTGCACTCCAATCAAACCTAATTATACCACATTGCTTTCTTGTCCACAAGAAGGAAACTATAATGCAATTATTGGGATACTTCATTTTCTATTCTGCCGTGGCAAATGAGAGAACCACTGTGATGGACGCTTCTTATCCAAAAGCTTACTGATGAAGCACAGACCCCATTTACACTCCTGCGAAGGACCACCTTCCAATTATGTTAGTAACATTAAGGCTCCTGAGACAGCAGTTCACTCTCCATCACTTCAGCTGAAACTCAAGGCACTTGGAAGATATCTGCAAACTGCCTTATGGCTCAACATGCCTCCTCTGATACGGAGAACCAGGACGCTTTATAATAAACAACCATCCACAGTTACAGAACCTCTGCTGTGACTGAGGCCCCCAAGGTGACTGCAAAAGCCTGTCTGACTTCTGATTTACACACTGAAGGGCAGAGCAAAAGAGCAGAATTATTTATATGACTAAAATATGGAATACAAAATAGAAAGATCTTAATTATTTAAGTTCCTGGAATAAAACAACCGATTAGCAGTAAATACATGCACTGGTTTCACCAGGGTACTAGAGGCCTCACAAAGGCAAGGGGGCAAAACCAGCTGCTTTCAGAGTTGAGAGTGATTTGTATTTCTCTGTTGGCCTGGGTGCCCCTGTTATCTAGAGCTGTGTAACAAACTATCACAACATTTTAGTGACTGACAACACATTTCTTTTGCTCAGAAGGGTTAAAGGATTTGCCTAACATCACACATAGTTGGGGGGCACCAAGACTCAATCCCAGATTTGATTCCAAAGCCCTTTCCAATTGAGGATATGAAGTACATAGGAAACTAGATAGGAAACTACAGGCACAACTGAGAGACAGGGGAAGCGCTTGGTTCCAGACCTGGGCAATAAAGTGACTATCACAACAAAGTGAGCCACATGACTTTTTGCGTTTCCCAGTTCATAGAAAAGTGATGTTTACACTATAGTAAGTCTATTACATGTGCAATTAGTAGTATGTCTAAAAAACAATATACCTACCATAATTTAAAAATATTTTTAAAACGTGCTAACAATCATCTGAGCCTTCAGCAACTTTTAATCTTTTTGCTGGTAGAGGGTCTTGTCTTAATGTTGACGGCTGCTGACTGATCAGGGTGGTGGTGGCTGAAGTTTGGACTGGCTGTGGCAATTCCTTAAATAAGACAACAATGAAGTCTGCCACATAAACTGACTCTTCCTTTCACAAAATATTTCTCCGTAGCATGCCATGTTGTTGGACAGCATTTTACTCAAAGAACTTCATTTGAAACTGAAGTCGATGCTCTCAGACCCTGCTTTATCAACTTAGCTTATGGAATCTTCTAAATCCTTGGTTGTCACTTCAACAACATTCATAGCATCTTCTCCAGGAGCGGATTCCATTTCAAGAAACTACTTTCTTTGCTCATCCGTAAGAGGCAACTCCTCATCTGTTCGAGTTTCATCCTGAGGTTGCCGCAGTTCAGTCATCTTCAGGCTCCACTCCTAATTCCCTCCCTATTTTCACCACACCTGCGGCTCTTCCCTCCGCTGAGGTCTTGAAACCTTCTAACAGTCATCCCTGAGGGTCGGAATCAACTTCTTCCAAACCTGTATGAATGCTGACCTCCTCCCAGGTACCACGTATGTTCTTAATGGCAACTGGAATCGTGAATCCTTTCCAGAAGGTGTTCAATTTGATTTGGCCAGATCTATCAGTAGATCCATTAGTAGAGACAGGGTTTCACCATGTTGGTCAGGCTGGTCTTGAACTCCCGACCTCCGGTGATCCGCCTGCCTTGGCCTCCCAAAGTGCTGGGATTACTGGCATGAGCCACTGCACCTGGCCCCAGAAGATTTTTTTAAAAACTACTCTAATGGTTTTAGGATTGCTAAAACTGTTTCTTCTGAGTCATTTTTAACAGCTTACACTTTTTTTCTGAGAATTTTTCTATTACTCAGCTTTTTAGATTTACTGGTTATAAAACATTGTCATTCTCTTAAAATTTCTTTTAAGTATCAGATACATCTGTATCTATGTTTCTCTTCTCTTTTGTAGTATGTGTTCATGCTTTGTCTTACTTTTTTTTTTTGAAATGGAGTTTTACTCCTGTTGCCCAGGCTGGCATGCAATGGCGTGATCTCGCCTCACCAGGATCTCCGCCTCCTAGGTTCAAGTGATTCTCCTGCCTCAGCCTCCGGAGTAGCTAAGACTACAGGCATGCACCACCATGCCTGGCTAATTTTTGTATTTTTAGTAGAGACAGGTTTTCTCCATGTTGGTCAGGCTGGTCTCGAACTCCTGACCTTAGGTGATCCACCCGCCTCAGCCTCCCAAAGTGCTGGGATTACGGGTGTGAGTCACTGCACCTGGCCCACCTTTTCTTACTTTTTAAAAATCAGAATTCTGAAAGTGTGTTTATTTTGTTGTCTTTTTCAAAAGTCTGACAGGACGTATTAATCATTGATGGTTTTATCAAGTCACTGCTTTCTGTTGGTATCTTCTTTCCTTGTATTTTCCTTGAATTTATTTTACTATTCTTAAGTTGGCCATTTAGATAATTTTTAGGCTTTCTTGTTTTTCTATTTAAAAAAATGAAGGAAAGTTCCTATAAAAACCTTGATTTTGTACATTCATGGGCTTTGATATAAAGTGATTATATTATTATTTAGTTCTAGGCATTTTGAATCTGTATTATTTTTGGATGTATGCTATTTAAAAGTATATACTTCAATTTCTAAAAATGCAGAGATTTAAGAACTTATTTCTTTGTTATTAACTTCTAACTCATCTCTTTTTTATTGTGATCAGAAATATCCACTCTTTAAAATTTATTGAAATTTGACTCACGGCCTAGTATGTATCAAATTTGTGTAACTTTCTCATACATGTCTGATAAGCACATGTGTTTCTAGTTGTTAGATAAGTAACTCTATATATGTCCATAAGATCTAAACTGACAATTATGCTATTCAAATCTTCTGAACTGCCTGCTTGGCTAATCAATAAAAAAAAGAGATCTAAACATTTCTTCCTGTGGTTGACAGCAAATAATCAATATCTCCCTGTATCAATTCTTGCTTTATGTATTGAAACTATTTTATTAAGTACACAAACATTTTGAATTGAACCTTTTATGTAGTGACCCTCTTTCTTAAATAACTTTTTTCATTTTAAGGTTTATTTTGCTTAATATTAATCAAGGTAGATATACCAGTTTCCTTCTGATTCATATTGGTCTACATGCTTTTTTTAATGTTTCTTTTATTTACAGCTTGATCCTTTATTTTCCTCTAAATATTCAATGGTTTAATCTTTCATGGCTTTTATCTTTATATAAATAAACCTTATTAAATTTTTTATGTTTCTCTTAGTTCTTGAACATTCTATTTTGAAATCCATCCATGTTTCTGTCAATATCCGTACTCCATCGTCACTGCTATTTAGTATTCAACTGTAAGAACATTCCACAATTTCTTGGTCCATTCTATTTTTGATAAACTTTTTTATGTTACATCTAGACAGTTGCTTGCTTTTGTTAACCATTAGAATGCTGTGAATACTCTTATGCATGTCTTCTGGTGTAGATGTGCAAACATTTCTGTAGGGAACAGAAGCAGGAGCAAAACGGCTGGAGAGTAGAACACGTGCATATTCAACTTGACTGATGATGCCAAAATGTGTTTTACCAAGTGATGCGCTAACGCTAACTTAAGTTCCCACCAAGAGTGAACAGGAGTTTCTGATTCCTCCTAGGCTTGCAAACACATCAGATCTTTCAATGTGAGAAGAAATGATATCTCTTTATTATGCTAAGATATTCTATTCAAGAAGACAGTACGCCTATGTATTTCGGTCTTAAGGGCTTTCAAATTTTAAAAACTTACATCCATTTAGGTCTTACGTATTTTTGTTTACATTTATTTTTAATGATTTTATACTTTTTGTTGTTACTCTAACTGGTGTTTTGGTATTAAATGTCCTAATGGTTGCTGGTGTACAGAATTGCTGCTGAATTTAGATATTAAACTCATACATATGAATAAATTCTCTTAAAATTCTGAACATTTTCCTGAAGTTTCTTTTGCTTTTTCTATGAATTTGTTTTCTTTGGGAACAGTACGGTTGTTCATATTTTGCTACTTTGATTTCATGCTGGTGATTTGTCATTTCTGATTATATTTATCAATGAAGACTAAGTTGTTTGTAAAGTAAGCTGGGGTGGGTTTCTTCTGAAGTTCCATAAACCTGTTCCTCCAAAGGGCTGGTTTCCAAATCAAGGGGCTGTCTGTGAACTCTGCATAAGGGGCAGGCACATGAACCAGTGAGTGCTTCTCCCCAAAAGCCTCTCCACGTTGGGAAAGCAGCCCTCACAGGGGGCGCATGAGTGCTTCTCCCCAAAAGCCTCTCCACGTTGGGAAAGCAGCCCTCGCAGGGGGCACATGAGCAAATCCTGGTGGTCACCTGCTCTCACAGGCGCCGCTCACGGTGGCCTGATGGCTTCCCGTGCCACCCCACACACCTGTCGGCTCCAGGTCTGGGGCTCGTCCACCCCTAGGTTCTGCAGGACGTTTCTCCCACCCATGTGGGGTCTCCTCAGCAGCCACTGGCAACTTTGGTCTGCTTTGCTCTGCTCTCACCTGCAAACTGATTCCAACTGTTTTCCAGAAATAACTCAATTTCTGGATCCTCTAATATTTTTACTCCTGCTTGTTTTCTGTGTATTACCATGGATTTATTTATTCTTTAAACATTTTTCTGTAGGCTTCATGAGGTTGGGAAGGGAAAATCCTAACACTCTTTCTCAGTCTACCTTTTTGAACCAGAAGCCCCTCAAATTGCTCTCCGAGTCACTGGGATTCATAAACATTGCTCTCTTGGCCAAGTTCCTCAACCTCTCACAAGACAAAGTCTAATGGAACTCAAACACAAATCCAACAACTGAACTTTCAATTACACTAAAGTTACAAATTCATCATGAGAGCTGACACAAAGAATACTGAATTTCTACTTTTGAGATAATAGTATGACTTCCAAAACAGAGACTCCTCAACTTATGATGGGGTTATTAATGCATCTCACCTTCCGAATACCATGGCCTAGCCCTGTCTACCTTAACTGTGTCAGAACCCTTACGTTACCTGACAGTTGGGCAAAATCAGCTAACACAAAGAATATCCCATGTGATTTCTTGAACACCGTATTGAAAGTGAAAGAAAGAACTGCTGCACGGATAGTGGAAGTACAGTCCCGAGTGAAGCTACTGCACCACCATCGAGTTCGAGTGAAGCTACCGCACCACTCGATCAAAGTCGCATCAAGTCGAGCGACTATGAAGCTGCGGACCGTCTGTGTGCCCTTTCCATTCATTCCTCAGGTTCCTGCCTCTGTGTCTTCTATGGACGCAGCTGCTGTGAATGGAGCTTTACTCTTCGGTCTGTTCTCCACTATGTATTAGAGACCTGTTTTGTTATTTTAATCCATAATCTGCCACTTTTGCTATACCTGCAAATATTTGTTTCTTCCTTTAGTCTTATATCCTATTTCTATTTGTCTTGCTGCAATGGCTAGAGCTTCCATTATGAATTTTAAATAACAGTCTTGTTTGCAGATTTCTCTGTCCTCTTGTTGACTATAGTGAGGATTTTTCTACTATTTAATAGTTTAAAACTATGTTGAATTTTGTTTGCAACATATTTTGTTTATCACGCTATATAAGTATTCTTTTATTTTTAGTTCACTAAGAATTACTTGCAATTTAAATTACAAATCAATAAATCAAGGAGGAATTTTAGCCCTCAGATGTGGCTTTCCTTATAGTACCAGATTCCAATTGTTTGTCTTTAATCTGTTACGGATTGGTAAGAGTTCTTTGATGAAAAAAAGAAGAAAATTAAATAAGGACAAACAGAATTTTGGTCCTAGAGCTTTAGAGTGGGATAAATAGTCTGTAGTAAAGCTTTTTAGGAGAATTTGAGTATTAAATACCAAATTAACATATCTGTTATTTTCTTCTAATAGCTCACAAGTATCATTCTATAATAAACAAACATGGAATTCTTGCTCTTAATAAGCCACTAGGGAGGTGTTACAAAGGTAGTTTAAAAAAAAAACTGTAAGACTGTAGAAAATTAAAAACACAGAAATATGTTACTTAAAGCTCTAAGAACTTAACATTTTGATAATTCTTATGATACTGTGTATACTAGAAGATGATTAAGCTGTGTGACAGTTTCAAGAGTAGAGGCTGAAAAATTCTAAATATGGATTCAATGATCTGTTCCAATACATACACATATATACATACACATAAACATATATCTATACGCTATGCTATTTTTTATTAAATGTCATTTTGTCCATTCAAAGGTGAACACAGACCACGAACAGTACCTGTTTTGTCTGTCAATAAATACACCAGGCGCCCAAGTTCCTCTGGGATAGTGCTGGTCCGAACGACCGTGCCAGGGATGTTCTCATCTTTCATCATCATCCATCCATACACCGCTTTGCCCATGTCCAAGTTCACACGCAAACTGCCAAATAAAACCCATTGCAGTGGTTAGTGTGATCCAGAGCCATGTCCAAGTTCACACCCAAACTGCCAGATAAAACCCACTGCAGTGGTTAGTGTGATCCAGACCCATGTCCAAGTTCATACCCAAACTGCCAGATAAAACCCACTGCAGTGGTTAATGTGATCCAGACCCAGGCCACACATTCAGGCTCATGGTTCCATATACACGTATTTTTTAATATGCATTATCTTTCATTTTATATGAAAATACATAATATTGGATTTTAGACTTTAAAATAAATGTATTTACTGACATTTAAGTCAACAAACATGTTTACACCCAAGATAATATTTGTAGGTGACAGAAAAATAGGTAACTCCTATTCTGTCCTTCAAGACAGTCTGTAACACCAGATGGGACAGAAAAACAGACTGTTGTGAGTGTGCCCGTATATGCCCGCAAGGGACAACTACCAAAGGCTTACAGGACAGGGCACACACATGGAGCAGGCGGGGTCCTCCTGCAAATCAACATGGGAAATGGGCCTCAAGGTTTATCCACTTGTTTTACCATGACCAATGGGATATTTCCCGTGTTTCAGGAGCTAAACTGGAAAACAGAACAAATGGGATATGATATGACAAATAAAATGGTATCTGCTAACTATGCCCTGGACTTTTTAGTCATTTTTAAAATTTCATAATTTAAGTCCGTGTAGTAAGACTGCAATTAAAGCACATATGATGAGTCATCTGACTGGGGACAATTCTGCAGAACCTTGCCTGGAGGCAGTGGAGTGGAGCAGAAGGCTGGAACCCTGTAGGCCTGGAAACCTACAGAGCGGCCATGTCAGAACATGAGCTCACATCACATCACTTTAGGAGGCAGGCTCTGCTCATGCGGCTGCTGGCAGCGCAGTTCTTCCTATACAGCAACTCAAAAATGTTCACATGTGTCTAATTTAATCCTGTCAAGAAAGCAGACAGGATGTACTTATACCACAGAGTGAAACTGCTGATATTCAAACATTTTTGACCCAGCAAAATGGCAATTCACATAGCTCAACTATTAATAAGTACACACTCGAAAAATAGTCTTTAGGAATCACAGTCAATGAAGGAAGTCTGTATGTAAGTTAAAGAACATTAAATAATCATACTTTGACTTATCTGTCCATAGAGTTCATATCTTAAAAATTCTATGTACTAGTTAGAAAGTAAGCCTTTGACAATTACACAGCTTTTTAAACCAGCACCTCACCATCTTTCGCTATTTAAAATACAAACTAATCAAAGACACAAGCACTAAGCGAAGATGACTCAAAGCTCCCCTGCAAGATGACACTCAAGGCCGGACACAGCAGCCACTTGGCCTCTTGGTGCAGGACGGCTGCAGCTCCCTGGCGAGGAGTGCTGGCTGGCCATGCTGACGCCTACAAGTTACCCACCTGTATGCCTCCAGTGCCTCCTAACAAATGGGCTAGAGACGAAACCTTTATCAGCTGTGCTGAAGACTATGTGAACTGCTGCCTGCCAAATGTTCAGAGGAGTGTTTGACAGGCAGGAAAGGCTCAGGAAAAGCTAAGGACATTCCTGCAAATGGTTACTAAATAGCAGGGCTGTTCCACATGAGTTTAGGGTGAGTGGGAGGTTTGAAGAAGGAAAAGAAAACACATTTACATTAACTCTTCTTTGATTTGGGCTTTGGAGAAAGATTCTCTGTGAATCAGAAAGAGAAAGTGGAAGTCATGGACCACTTAGCTAAAATGTTAGCAATACTCAAGAAAGAAGGAGGCAGGCAAGGGGCAAGGTGGCCAAGAAATGACTGCCTTCCTGTACAGAAGAGGGGAAAAGGGCTTGAAAGGGGGATTTGACTTCCTATTACGCTATTCATGGCTCTGATTCTTTGGCTCGGATATCTGCACTTTGGAAAACATGGCTTTCTATCTATGTGCTGTGTTCTTTCAGATTTGTGTCATACTGTTTTGAAGAGTGTCAGCCTGCCTCAGCTACTATAATGCAAATGGGTTTCTGCTGTTAGCTGGGAATTTCTGAAGAGCTTGCAGTTGGCCACTGGGCTCAGGGTGGTGGAAGCCAAAGGACCAGGATGGCTCTTCTGGGCGCTGCTCCTCAATCACGAGGGGCCTATGGCTCATGAAACCGTTTCCGTGGTTAGACTTACGCGGAGCTGTTGTATCATGGAATATTAAGTTATTTCATGGAATATAATAATTACCACTGAAATATGGTAAGTTGAATACAAGTGCTCTCGGAAGATTGTATAAAGCAGTAGCTACTCATGAAAAGGTGAGAGATCATCTTCAGGATGAAAAAAATAAGTAGAGCCACTGCAGGATGCAAGTTTACAGCTTACTAGCGAAAGATCACTGAGTAAACTACACCTGACTTCAATTAAGACAATAATACCACATAGGGAGTATGTAATACCACACAGAGCATGTATAATACCACACGGGTTTTGTATAATACCACACAGGTTGCATATAATACCACACAGAATGCATCTAATACCACATAGGGAGTATGTAATACTACATAGGATGCATATACTACCACATAGGGCACATATACTACCACATGGGGTATTTAATACCACATAAGGAGTATATAACAACACATCGGGAGCATTTAATACTACATACAGAGTAGACAGCTTATATGCATGTGATTCACATGTACTTTGATTGTTAATACAGCAATTTCCTCTTTAACGTTAAAAATCTCCATGATGCTCAGATTTCAAACACTAAGTTGGCAGAGTATAGCTATCACTGCTGCATTATGTGTAATTTTTAGTAATGTTCTAATTTTATAGAATTTTAAAACCTGGATCTCTACTCAGCTGTAAAGTACTATACTGTAACATAATATGTCACCCCCCCTCAATATATATTAAACCTAGTATTTTGAGAATTATAGAAATAGATTATAAAGTAATCAATACCAGCTATATTTTAAGCTCATTTTATTGCTAATTTAGCAACTGTGAAATTGTTACCAAGAGACCTGTTCCAGATAAGTGGAAAAAGGTACCTGTCATTTCAGACAGTTACCTGAAACAAAAGGCAGTCATGACTTTTATGCAATATGAAAAATGAAATAAATTATCTTAAACAAATACTGTGTTCAGCAATGTTAGGAGTAGGAAGATACATGAACCTGTTTTATGCTACAGGAAGAAAGCATTCGTAAATCTCGGAATGTCAGATCTCTTAATTATACCTCCCTATTGTCCAAAAAGTTCCTTCTGCTCCACAGCTACAAAAGTGTCTGAGGAGGTAACTTGGACTCTGAAAAATTTGAAGTGCGTTTTCCTAAAATATACCATGCAATCTTATTTAGGCACCACGATGCTTGCTACATTTAAGCTCTAATTTGTTATAATTAAACCTGCAGCATTTATCACTACCAGGTGAACCCAGTCCCACAACTTGTCTGAGAATCGCGCGAGATTCTCCTCAGGGAATGAAACTACCTGAAATAATTCACATGCGTTCCTCTGTCAGACTTATTTTTTGGATTCTAATCTGAGCAAAACGAAACAGAAGTCATTTAATCAGAAGTTTTACCGAAGAAATTAACATCTTTTCCTACAGATCGTAAAGCTGAAAGGACACAGAGGCCATGTGATCTGAATTTTTCCCAGCATTTGTCACTCTGTGAAATCTTTCCATTTTTCATGGGATATTAGGGAGGCAGGGCCGGCGCCCAAACACTCTCCCTGGGTGAGTCCCACCAGTGTGATCCATGGTGGAGACAAGACCCAAAATGTCGAGGCCTAGTTTAGACCTCTCTCCGGGCTTCAGATGCACACGTGTTCTATTTCCTATGAGATATCTTAGATTCATCACAAACACCCTGAAATGAACAGACACACAATGGGTGTTAACATTCCTACTTCCTCCCCTTATGGGCCAAACAAAATAAAACACGCACATGTACTCTTCCTCAGCGTGGAAAGTTTCTCCATCATAACGACTGGCACGGCCACCTGCCACTGCAGCCAGACACCAAGAGTAATCCATTTCCCTTTTCCTTCCAGTGCCTGCATCCAGATAATCAAGAACTCCTGCCAGTTCAACCTCCTAAGTTCCACAGCCACTGGCCTTCCATGCTTCGTAGGGAGGAGGCATAGGTAACTGTGTTTTACCTGTATTGATTCCTAATTTTCAAACCTTCTTAGACCAATGACAGACTTGATTTTTCTGAGCCTCGGGAACAGCATCTGTAGAGTGCCATGGTCATTGTGTGGATTAGGAATGATGCATAACAGAAGGTGACTGAGAGTTACAGTGGAGCAAGTAATCAATGACAGGAAATGATCACTGATCTGAAGAGTTAGAGGGTTTATGGCAAATGAAGAGCCTGAGCTATAGTGGAGAGGGCTCAGGGAGAGGAGCATATCCGTGCAGGATTCAGTGGAGAGAGCTCAGGGAGAGGAGCGTATCCGTGCAGGATTCAGTGGAGAGAGCTCAGGGAGAGAAGCGTATCCGTGCAGGATTCAGTGGAGAGAGCTCAGGGACAGGAGCGTATCCGTGCAGGATTCAGTGGAGACAGCTCAGGGAGAGAAGCGTATCCGTGCAGGATTCAGTGGAGAGAGCTCAGGGACAGGAGCGTATCCGTGCAGGATTCAGGGAAGGCTCCGGAGTGCAGATGTGCACCAGGCACATCATACATACATGCATACGGTGCATCAGGCATGCACAGACACACAGCTTACACATGCTGTGCCGCTGGAACAAAGGCAGAGATACACCCTAAACATGGAAGCATGCTATTTGATCTGCATCCATTGCACAAGATGTAAGGACAAACAAATGTAGTCTTGGGTCCTAAGACACAGAAAATACAGCAGAGTGAACAGGAAACCTACAGAATGGGAGAACATTTTTGCAATCTACTCATCTGACAAAGGGCTAATATCCAGAATCTACAATGAACTCAAACAAACTTACAAGAAAAAAACAACCCCATCAACAAGTGGGTGAAGGATATGAACAAGCACTTCTCAAAAGAAGACATTTATGCAGCCAAAAGACACACAAAAAAATGCTCATCATCACTGGTCATCAGAGAAATGCAAATCAAAACCACAATGAGATACCATCTCACACCAGTTAGAATGGCAATCATTAGAAAGTCAGGAAACAACAGGTGCTGGAGAGGATGTGGAGAAATAGGAACACTTTTACACTGTTGGTGGGACTGTAAACTAGTTCAACCATTGTGGAAGTCAGTGTGGTGATTCCTCAGGGATCTAGAACTAGAAATACCATTTGACCCAGCCATCCCATTACTGGGTATATACCCAAAGGATTATAAATCATGCTGCTATAAAGACAAATGCACACGTATGTTTATTGCGGCACTATTCACAATAGCAAAGACTTGGAACCAACCCAAATGTCCATCAGTGATAGACTGGATTAAGAAAATGTGGCACATATACACCATGGAATACTATGCAGCCATAAAAAATGATGAGTTCATGTCCTTTGTAGGGACATGGATGAAGCTGGAAACCATCATTCTCAGCAAACTATCACAAAGACAAAAAACCAAACACCGCATGTTCTCACTCATAGGTGGGAACTGAACAATGAGAACACATGGACACAGGAAGGGGAACATCACACACCGGGGCCTGTTGTGGGGTGGGGGGCCTGGGGGAGGGATAGCATTAGGAGATATACCTAATGTAAATGACAAGTTAATGGGTGCAGCACACCAACATGACACATGTATACATATGTAACAAACCTGCACGTTGTGCACATGTACCCTAAAACTTAAAGTATAATAATAATAATAATAAAGAAAATACAGCAAAGTATTACAGAAAGTCATTTAAACTGGTGTAAGCAAAATTCTAAATCCCATTATAATGTTTCTGAGTGGGTGTGGGATGATTGGAGATTTGCAATAAAGTGGTGTTTTCGGAAGAGTAAGCTGAGTACCAGCTTTGAAGATGAGCTGAATCAAAGAAAGACCAGAGACAAGTGGCAAGCAAAAGACATTCCCTGCTGCACATGCAGCTCACAGGGGCTGGTCTTCAGTGCAGCCAACTCCCGGCCTTCTGCTTAGACTGACAGTGGCCCCCAGGACCAGGTGCTGTGGCAACTGGGAAACAGTGCTTCAGGGCTTCCCTCACACTCAGGACTCTTCCGACTTTCATGTGGGAAGTCACTGTGAAATACACAGAGGGGCCTGTGCCTGAACTCTGGGGACAAATGGGGCTTCATTCCCCAGGCAAGCTCAAGAACACTGTTTGAAAAGTACTCTGGTTGGTTGAGAATGAATCAAAATTGGAAACTCAGGAATGGGGAAAGGTGAGCACCGAGATTAATGACTCCATGTTGTTAAGCAAACATGGGCGCCAACCTCAAAGGAGAGCCATCATTGCTGGTTGAAAGTTAAGATTTCCATATTAAAAGGAAATAACTATAAAATTAGGGTTTGCAGGTACAGATTAAATGATCAAATACTAGGAAGTACAAAGGAGAAAAAAAGAATAAATGAAGATTAAAATCCTCATATTTAAGAGGAGTCACACGTTATTGTTTGGTTCTTGACTTTGATATTTGAAATCAAGGTTTAAATATGTATTGGATAAAGTCAAGCAGTGGCAAATTTTAAGAGAGTTTTGCAATTTTCAAATAATTTAAAAATTTTAAAGTAAAATACATTCTGTATAGCAGTACAAACATATACACAGTGTACACACACACACAGACACACACACACACACAGAGCTGCCACATAGAATAGATGAATGTGTGCATATAAATATAAATGAACGCGCAAGAATGCAGGAGCAAGGCTGAACACCTATGCCAGGATTGTGAAAGGAAGAAATATTCCTATTAAAGGCTAGCACTTTTAGTTTAAAAATAAATAAATACTGATTTATGCAATTTAAGAGCTACACCTTAAAACAAAATGTCTCCAAAAGGCTAAGAAGAAAGGAATGGCAAAGACAAGCGGCAAGTCCCCCAGAACCAAGCGGGCAGTGATTATGTTAAGTGCTAGTAACAAAGCTGACCAGGCAAACAGGAGCCGGCTAAAGGCCGCAAGGAGGATAAGCAGGAGCTTTTCAAGGTTAGAAAAGCTTAGTTTTCTATCCAATGGTAACACTAACCTCAGTAAAACTATGGAGGCAAGGATGCGCCTCAGGGAAGGCAGGGCCAGCAGGCGCAGGCCAGTGAGCCTGCTTGTGGAGCTGAAGTCAGGTTCACATTTCCTGAACACATTTCCAGTGACTTGGAATCTTGAATGAAGATGCTCCAAGACAGAGGGTATCTCCAAGTACACAGCAGAAGCAAGTGTGTATGTCTTAGGAAATGAACCTCCATCTTTGTTCCCAAATGATTCCTATAATTAGTTTTTCAAATACAATTACCAAAAACACCGTAACAACAAACACTACCACATAACACAGAGCAAAACAAGACACCAGAAGCAAGAGCCAGAAGACCAAAATACAACATAAAAAGATTGACAAAGGTATCTGATATTGATACAGATTATAAAACAAACGGATACATAAAAATTTTTTTTAAATGTTTGTGTGGAATAGGCAACTTTAAAAATGAAATAATCAATGTGATAAAGAAACCAACCAGAATTTTTAGAACTAAGAAATATCAATAATTAAAATTAAGAAATTCCTTAGTTTAACAGCTGATTACACACAGTCAAAGAATGAGTACTTGTTGGACAGGTCAGTGAGGATGATACAAAATGAAGCATGCAAGCAAAAAAAGCAGAAAGTGCAGCAGCGAGAGCAGCGGAAACAAAGGTGTGGCGAGGACAGTGACCAAGCCCTGACCTCATGTCCCGCGTGGGGACACAGTGAGGACATCGACCAAGCCCTGACCCCATGTCCCAGAGCAGGACGCGACAGGTGGGGACGGGGCAGCATCTGAAGAGATGATGGCGGACTTTCTAGAATGAATAAAAGAATCTAGAGTCAAGAAGCCCAACAAATCCTAAGTACTGTTTAAAAAGAAACATCGTACCTCAACACATTATGTAGGGTAGAGCGTACAATGCCACCAATGAGGAGAGGATAGAAAAGCGGCTGGAAGAGATGGAAGGACCCAAAGAAGTGAAGTCTTAAAAGCAGTAACAGAAGACAAAAAAGAAAGGTGACAGCCTAGAATTCTATACCCAATGAAACTATTTTCCAAGAAGGATGGCCAAGCAAGAATTGAGAGTTCAGAACAGACCAGCATCAAAAGCACAAAAAGCGAACACATTTCTAACAGAAGGCAAATTACTCTACTCTAAGATGCAAGAAGACATTACGAACCGAAACGTGGATAAACCAAAATGATGGAGAATGTATAAACAAAATCAGTGATATTGTTAGGTTTAAGAATAACCAGGGTTTTCTTTGGGGTTTAAGAACAACTAGAATTAAAATAAATGACAAAAATGGTGTAAGTCCAGAAGGGAGCAAATTAAGTTAAATGCTTAAGGGAACTGACTTTTAACTCTGATAAGTTAAGAAGGTTTTTAACTTCTAGGGTAACTACTAAAAGAACAGAAACCACTTACATAACTTCTAAACTGCTGGAGAAAAAAGTTGCATTACAAAAAAATAATAAAATGGCAAGAAAGGAGAAAAATATTGAACAGGTAAGTCATATTAAAAGCACAAAATAAAACAGCAGATTTAAACTAAAAATATAAACAGTATTATAATAATTGAATATGCAATACTCTAGTCAAAAATTATCAAATTTAGATAAAAATTAAACCAATTACAAGATGGCATGCTAATACAAGATGTACGCTAATTACAAGAGACACATAAAAATAAATATACAGAGAAGTTGGAAGTAAAAAGATGGAAAAAGATATGCCAAAGAAATTAAAGACAGCTGGCATTGCTACATTAACACAAAACAAAGTAGAATTTAATGCAAAAAGCTTTAGTAGAGATAAAGAAAGTCCCTTTATAATGAGAAACTGCTTAATCCAGTAGGAATATAGACAACAATTTAAATTTGTATGCATCCAATATCAAAGCCACAAAACATAAAATACTAAAAATAAACAGAATTCCAAGGAAAAATAGACAAAGTCACAATAATGATGAGAGATTTTGACAAATTTCAGCAACTTTTATGAAAGAGAAAAACCCTTGTGGTAGACAGAAACTGAAAAACAAGATTAAGAATCTAGATCTGATCACACAGATGAGATCCTGTGACCAACAATTGGGAATGCAAGTTGTTTTGAAGCACACACAGAATGTTTATAAAAATGGACTAAATATTGGACCCTAGAACAAGTCTCAACACATTTCATAGATCTGAAGTTAAAAAGGTATGTTCTCTGAGAAAAATACAATCAAACTAAAAATGAACAAAGATGTATTAGAAATTTCTCAACTATGCTTATAAATTAAGATAAGAAATAAGTTTGTAATAAGCATGGGTCAAAGATGAAATCACGTCGAAATTAAAATATTCTGTACTTAACAATAACAAAAATACTACATATGAAAACTTTTGAAATGCAACCAAAGTAGTACTTACAGAAAA
Organism: Homo sapiens; assembly: GCF_000001405.40. Lineage (NCBI taxonomy): Eukaryota > Metazoa > Chordata > Mammalia > Primates > Hominidae > Homo > Homo sapiens. The sequence continues at coordinate 79,267,500 of NC_000018.10, read as the reverse complement.
ATTTATAGCCTCCAATACATATATTCACAAAGGGGGCAGAAGGTGAAAACTAATCAAGGAGGAAATAGATAAGTAAGAAAACATTAATGAAATAGGAAAATAATACACAGCTCAAAGAATACATAAAGACAAGAGTAGGTATTTCCATAAGAAATGAAAGCTGGCAAACCTATTGGAAGAGTGGTCAGGAAAAAAAAGAAAGCAAAAAGGGCAGAAATAACAAGTATGAAGAATTAAAAAGGTTCATATCACAGATCCTATGTATGTCAGGGATAACAGGAAAATATGAACAAACTGTTGTAAATAAAACTGAAAATTTAAATACTTGATTACGAATTGAAAACTATAACTTTGCAAAACTGACTCAAGAAATTAAAAACTTGAATAGTCCCATAACTAAATCAATGTGTCAAAAATGTTCCACAGTAAAAAGTTGAGGCTCACATGGCCTTCTTCTTATGTAAATGTTCAGGAAATAAACAATTCCAATTTTAGATAAATTATTTTAGAGAAAGAAAATGAGAAAAAAAAATATTTTTATGAGACTAGCATAATCCAGATACCAAACTCCACAAAAATGGTATGAAAATTAAAAATTACATGTCAATTTCACTCCTGTAAATCAATGTAAAAATCTCACAGAAAATACAAGTAAATGGAATCTAATAATAAACAAAATACTAACATACCATCATTATGTTGGGGTTTTGCCCCCAGAAATACAAGGTTGGTATGACACTAGAAAGTCAATCAATATCATTTACCGTGTTAATACATTAAAGAAGAAAAATTTAAAGATGAAAAATCCTCAATAGATTTAGAAAAATATTTCCTAAAATACATTCATGATTTAAAACAACTTTTAGCAAAATAGGAACAGAAAAATGTCCTTAAGGCATTAAAAGGCTTCTATAAACAAACTTATAGCATACTTAAATGACAAAGTGTTGAAAGTTTTGCCTTTGAGGATGGGAACAAAAGAAGAATGTTTATTATAATCACTTTTCTTTAACAACATACTGAAGATCTTTGCTGCAGAAACAAGGAAAAGAAATAAATGGTGCAAAGAACTGAACAAAAAAAAGCTGTTATTATTTACTGATGATATGATTATATATAGAAAAAATTTAATACACCTAGATTAATAAATAAAATCAATAGGATTTTTACCAAGATTGATAGTCAATAATTTTATAAAAATTAATTTTATTTCTTTACATCAGCAAAAAGAGAGGAAATGGTTCCTTTAAGAACGATATTTACGACATCATTTTAAAAATCCCAAGTATCTAAGAACTGCTCTAACAAAATTTGAGAAGACTTATTTTAGAGAAGACCTAAAAAAAATTGAGAGATACACCATATTCATGGCCAAGAAGACCTAAAACACTCTTTAAAGAACACAAGGATGAATGAAACAGAATAGAGAACCCAGAACTAAGACTGCACACTTACAACCATCTGATCTTCCACAAACCTGACAAAAACAAGCAATGAGAAAAGGACTCCCTATTCAATAAATGGTGCTGAGATAACTGGCTGGCCATTTGCAGAAGAGAGAAACCGGACCCCTTCTTTACACCATATACAAAAACAAACTCAAGATGAATTAAAGACTTAAATGCAAAAACTCAAACTATAGAAATCCTGGAAGACAACCTAGGCAATGACATTAAGCACACAGGCATGGGTGAAGATTTTATGATGGAGACATCAAGGACACAGGCATGGGTGAAGATTTTATGATGAAGATACCAAAAGCAACTGCAACAAAAGCAAAAATTGACAAATGAGATCTCAATAAACTGAAGAATCTCTGCACATCAAAAAAAAAACTTAACAGCAGAGTGAACAGACAACCTACAGAGTGGGAGAAAATTTTTTTGCAAACTACAGATCTGACAAAGGTTTAATATCCAGCACCTAAACGGGACTTAAACAAATTTACAAGAAAAAAACTAACAACCCCACTAAAAAGTAGGCAAAGGACAAAAAGACACTTTTCAAAAGAAGACAAACATGCAGCCAACAATCATATGAAAAAAAGCTCAACATCGGGCCAGGCGTGGTGGCTCACGCTTGTAATCCCAGAACTTTGGGAGGCCGAGGCGGGCAGATCAGGAGGTCAGGAGTTTGAGACCAGCCCAACCAACAAGGAATAAACCTAAATGCCCATCAATGACAGACTGGATAAAGAAAATGTGGTACATCTACATCATGGAATACTATACAGCCATAAAAAAGAATGAGATCATGTCCTTCGCAGGAACATGGATGGAACTGGAGGCCATTATCCTTAGCAAACTATCGCAGAAACAGAAAACCAAATACCACATGTCCTCACTTAAAACTGGGAGCTAAATGGTGAGAACACACTAAATGTGAGAACACACAGAAGAGAACAACGCACACTGGGGCCTGTCGGAGGCTGGAGGGTGGGAGGAGGGAGAGTATCAGCAAAAATAATTAATGAGTACTAGGCTTAATACCTGGGTGATGAAATAATCTGTACAACAAACCCCCATGACACAAGTCTGCCTATATCACAAACCTGCACATGAGGATAGACTTGTTCTATCAAACATCGAACTATTATAAAAGTCTGTTAACAAACACAGTTTGTTATTTGGCGAGAATACAAAAACAGTCCAAGGGAACAGAACAGGTAACCAAAACAGGCCCATGTGTATACAAATGCTTGGTACATGGCAGACGGGGCACTAGGTCACTGGGAAAAGTCTTTTCTATAACTGGTGCTGAGACAATTGGTTTGCAGAAATATGGTATTTAAAAACTGTACTTCACACCATATATATCAAAAAAAAAAACAAAAAACACTTACAGTGGTCAAAGGAAAAACAGTTAAGCTTCTAGAAGATAATGTAAGAGGAGAGTTTCATCTCCTTGGAGTAGGGAAGGATTTTTTAAACAACATAAAAAGTGATAACCAACAAAAAAAAAACCTCATATATTTGGCATGTAAAATCAATAACTGTTTTTTCATAATTTCACCAATGGGTGAGTAAAAAGTCAAACTACAGATTGAGAAAGATATCAGCAAAACATAAGCCGAGAAAGCCTTGGCATCTAAAATATATAAATAACTGCAAGCTGCTCAGAACACCAGACAAAAGACTTAGAAAGTTCACAAAAGAGAAAATCTAAATAGCTAATATATATGTGCATAATTGTTTAGTCTCATTATCAATCTGGGAAATGATCATTAAAACTGCAATGAGAAGCCCACTTATATTAAGTGTTGCTGAGGATGTGAACTATTCTCCACACTGATGTTGGAATGGTAAATTGGTACAAACACTTTGAAAAACAGTTAAACATTATCTGGTAAATTTGACAAATAACACAGCCAAGTAGTGCTGCTCCTAGATATGTTTTTTTTTCCTTTTCTTTTTTTTGAGACAGAGTCTTACACTGTCGCCTGGGCTGGAGTGCAGTGGCGCGATCTCGGCTCACTGCAACCTCCGCCTTCCGGGTTGACGCCATTCTCCTGCCTCAGCCTCCCGAGCAGCTGGGACTACAGGCACCCGCTACCACGCCCGGCTAATTTTTTGTATTTTTTAGTAGAGACAGGGTTTCACCGTGTTAGCCAGGATGGTCTCGATCTCCTGACCTCGTGATCCACCCGCCTCGGCCTCCCAAAGTGCTGGGATTACAGGCGTGAGCCAACGCGCCCGGCCTGCTCTTAGATATCTTATACCAGGGTGCTAACGTGTGGAGTACACATCATGAAATGTTAATAGCAGCACTGCTGCTCACTGTAAAAAAACTGGAAGCAACCCAAACCCCAAAACAGCAGAAAGGATCACTGAATACACTGGAGTGTGCTCATGCAAGAGAATGACAAGCTGCAAGAAATGAGAAGAAGACAACACAACGTCCTGTACACAGCCATGTAAAACAAAAGGAATAAGACAAAAAGAAAACATCCAGTATGATTTCAATTATAGAAACTAGCAAAACAGGAAAAACTAATTCACAGCTGACCCTCAAACAACACAGGTTTGAACTGTGCAAGTCCTCTCAGATATGGACTCTTTTTAGTAAGTCAAGTCAACCCTCCGTATCTGAGGGCTCTGCACCTGCAACCAAACATGCATCAAAACACAGTATTCCTGGGAGGCGAACCCCGCAGACATGGAGGGTCCACTTGTCCCACGGGTAGGTTTTGCAGGGCCCACTGTGGGACTTGGGTACACATGCGTTCTGGTATCCATGGAGGGTGCTGGAACCAATCCCCCATGGGAACCAAGAGATGACTGCATATATTTATATATGCAATTTTTAGGTGGCAAACCTTTAGGAAAAGCAAGAAGTTAACCATAAAAGCAGCATTGTATACATATACCAAAACATTACATTGTATCTCATAAATATATATGTCTATTAAAAATGAAATAAAAATTGTAAAGCCCACACATTACAAAATAAAACAATGCTCAAAGGCTGCTGAAGTAGCTTGTGCAACAAGAAGTAATAACTTTTTTGATAGATTAAAATAAATTTGTTAACTATAATTTTTTTAAAGCCAAGACAGTGATTATTTCAAAAGAAATGAAATGAATTGTGCAAAAATATATTTTCTAAGCCAATATAAAAACTGGCACATAATTCATGCTATAACTAATAAGAGATTTATACAGAAAAAGTATAAAAGGAAACATCTTAAGCGTGTATGGCACCTTAACTCTGAAACTGGGTGAAGATACGGGTGCTAAGTGCTAGATGGTTTTTGCAGCCACGCTGGACCCTCAGGGTTCATGTATGGAATCCCTGGCATATGTACCACGTAAAGGGGATGGACTGTGGTATTACAAAAGCAGTATTAACCAGGTTTCCTGTCACAGCATCTCCACTGACCTTAAAATCTGGAAAACATGCTTCATCATAGAAATGTTTCAAATTGTTTCCCCAAATTCAGAACTCTGAATTTTCTGAGTTCAAATAAGTGAACCAGAAAAAGGGGCTCTTTAGCCAAAATTACTTCTAAACTATGCCCTTTTTCTATCAAATGACTTCTCTGTTCCCCAGCACTATTTCCACAATTAGAGGCAATAAGGTTTGTATATATAAAATAAAACTTTGTTTTATTTCAACTTTATATAAACTTTAGATAAAACTAGTGATGAGAGTTCATGAATTAGCCATGCTCAGTAACTAAAAACGTAACATAAATTATAGAAAAGTATTTTTTTTCCTAAAGAAAAATATATTTAAAAAAAATTCTAAACAAACTTGAATGTTTAGGGAATGGTTTTTGGCTTTTGTTGAGGGCTAGGTTGTGGGGAGAGGAGGAGGAATTAAAGTTTCAGATAATTTTTACTTCTATGGAGAGAAAAAGCAAGGAAAGGGGAGGGAGGGAGGGAGGGGAGCGGGGTGTCCAGATGAAGACGCTGAGGACTGAGCTGCAGGGCCCCGAGGGTACACGCCATTCATCCCTGCACCCTCACACACAGCAGCGTGGGGCGTGTACTGAGCTGAATGGCCCATCACAACACCTCCCAAAAGCACATACTCGGATGGTGAGTAAATGAAGAACTGTTACACATTCAACCAAGTGTTCAGCAGGCAGAAGGCTGAGCTGCCTATTATAAAGTGGGAGCTTAGCAGGACACTTAGTAGGACAAGGAGACATCCTCCCACAACGCTCGAGCAACAACAGGCAGAGAGGAAACATTCCTGAATATCGGGAAACTGAACTGTTTCTTACAAGCAAAACAGTAGCCATGGAGCACTGCAGCATCTCACCCTTCCTGACGCTACCTTGCCAAGAGCAGGGGATGAAGCATTTTGTAAAAAATGACTCTATGTGGTGTACTGGTTTCTTAAAGATGCCATCACTAGATGTCTTAAAGCAACAGAATTTTATTTTCTCACCATCTGGAAGGTGCAGGCAGAGCTGTTTCCTCCTGGACTGGTCGGGGGTGGTGGGGTGTGGAGGGTGGAGGTGGGCTGCTCTGCCTCTCTCCAGCTCTGGATCTGCTCACAGTCCTTGGCGTGCCCTGGCTCGTAGAGGAATCATTCCAGTTTCTGCCACTGTCTTCACCTCACCTTCTCCTTGGCGTATTCCCACTCCTTTGATTACAAGGACATTCACTGCAATGAGGGCCTACTCTAATTCAGGATGGTCTCGTTTAGAGATCATTATCTTAATTATAACTGCAAAGACTCTTTTCTCAAGTAAGGTCCCACTCACAGATTTCATATGGGCACATGTTCTGGGGGCCATCACGGCATGCATGGGAGTCCACCCTCTAGCACTCGCAAATTTACACTGGTCCCAAATGCAGAATACATTTACCCCATCCCAATATCCCTAATGTCTCGGCCTATTATAGCATCAACATTAAGTCCAAAATTTCATCCAAACAGCATCTGCTCAAAGGCCCCAGATCTCATCATCTAAACCATCTAAATTTGGCACGGGTGAGACACTGGCCATGGTCCATGCTGGGACCTAAGTTCCTCTCCACCTGTGGACCCTGTGAAACTAGAAAACAAGCTATCTGCTCCCAAAATACAGTGGTGGGACAAGGATAAATAGGTATTTCCATTCCAAATGGGAGAAACTGGAAGGAATACAAGATCACTGATCCCAAGCAAGTTTGAAATTCAGCAAGGCAAACTGTTAAGTTTCGAGAGCTGAGAATAATAGAAGAACTGTGTCTCAGTGCTCTGCCCTTAGGCTGGCAGCTCCATGGCCTCTGCACTGCTCATGCCAATTTTGACCTTGGGGTCATTCTTCCTCTTTCTGAAAGGGAGCACATGCTTGCAGCCAGTAGCTCTATCAAGCTGTTTCCTGCCTGTAAGATTCTGGGAGTCCAACAGGCTTCTCTCATCTCATCCTGTCTCTGTTCCTTTAGGTCAAGCTGGTAGTTTCTGCTGATAAAACATGATGGGTCTCCTGTGCATATCCTGAGAGTCCACACTATCAGAAAACAGACTCCAACACAGATCCTTCTTGGATAACCCATCTCTACTCCTGGTTTCTGCAGAGTTGCTGAGTAGATCCTTTAGTCAGCCCCTGAAATGGTCTGGCTCTGTGTCCCCACCCGAATCTCATCTCGAATTGTACTCCCCGTGTGTAGAGGGAGATGGGTGACTGGATCATGGGGGCGGTTTCCTCCATGCTGTTCTCGTGATAATGAGTGAGTTCTCATGCGTTCTGATGGTTTGATGAGTGTGGGATGGTTCCTCCTTCACATGCTCACACTTTCTCCTGCTGCCTTGTGAAGGTGACTTGTGAAGGTGACTACTTCCCCTTCCGCCATGATTGCAAGTTTCCTGGGGCCTCCTTAGCCATGCAGAACTGTGAGTCAATTCAACCTCCTTTGTTCATCAATTACCCAGTCTAGTATAGTATCTTCACAGCAGGGTGAGAACGGACTAACACCTGCCCCTAATCTATCTCTTCAAAGAGCAAAACGCCACCTGGACACACCCTTGGTGAATGCTTTCCAAACAGTGAATCTCCCAATATTAGCATTTTATGTGATCTGGATAGGCTCCAAATTTTCCAAATCATCAATACCTGAATATCAAATCTAGGTCTAAAGAAGTTGAAAACACTCTTTTCACCAAGCATTCTACCTGGAAAATGAGGTCTTACTAAAGATGTTTGGTAAATTAGCAAAAACCTGTAAAATGTCACAGAAAGGGTACCTAACCGAAAAGTAACCTGATAAAGCTCTTAAAAGTTTTCCTTCAGAAAAGTTCTCTCCTAAATCCAGGAGCAATGACTGCTGTGCCTGTGCTGCCTGACACTTTTGGTCTTCCATCTGGGGGTGTGCTGACTGCACAGAGCACTTGGGGTCCCTGGTCCGTCTGCTCTGGAAGCGCACAGGCAAGCATCCCCACGCTCACTGGGTTGGAGGCTAGACCCTTGGTAAATGAGAGGAAACCCTGTCCCTAAGCCACACAAACACCCTTCACCTTCAGTGCTTTCAACAAAGCCACTGTATTTACAAGAGGTTCTTCAGTGTTCTCAGAAGGAACACCTTTATCACTTTGTCAAACAACATTCTGCCTCTAGCACCCACATATGCCTCATGTGGGAGTAAAAACACTCTGACCCAGCACTGATAAGACAGTTTTTGCATTATCAACTACAATGGTATATAGCATTTCAAAGCATACGGACGAAAGAGTTAATAAAGAGGGAAGTAACTGCAAGTCCCTGACCTCAGAGAACTTTAAATGAATACAGAATTCTGATCATCAGTTTTCCTTTTCTTATGAGAGATGCACAGGATTTAGGGAACATATATGAATTTTAGAATTACAAAAGTCAACGTTAAATACTATAATATTTTCCTCTGAAATTTACAAGGTAAATTGTATCAAGTAGCTCAAAATATTTTACTTCATACAGAGGAATTTTTATAAAACAGCTTAACTTTCTTAAATTTGAAAAGCCTTTTAAGAGTGTTAGGACAACAGATTTGTATACTGTGCAAAACCAAAACATATTTTAGAAGTCTTACCCTTTATTCAATCCAAAAGCATATTTAGCAAATACTAGAATGTATCATTATTCATATTTTACGGAAAATTTGCAAAAGGAAAACAAACTTGGCTTTAATAAAATGTGAACTTTAATTTCCCAAATCAGTGTCCTGTGCTTTTGACATCAACGGTTCTCATCCCTGCGTGCACCCTGTGTAACTGCATCCTGAGTGAGAGAAACATGGTAGAGCCTTGTGTTGAAGTGGGTGTGAGATGTTCTGGAGCTAAACAGAGGGGAACTGACAGTTCTGCTTCGTAAGTCTCTCCAAGCATGACTGAACATGCTAAACATAAAACAGCTGACTGAAAAACTAGAGCAAGAGAGACCCGCAGAAAGCCGGCTATCATCCTCATTTTCTAAGCAGACACTAGAAAAGGATACACAGACTTCACCTGGGGTGTGGGTGTTGTATGTAGATATAAATATGCATAGTCATATTTGTAAGTCTGTATAAACACATTGGAAAGGTTTGACAGAATTTAAGTGGAGACAGCAGGATTACAGATAATACTTATCTTCTTCTCTTATTATTATTATTTTTTCTTTCGAGAGAGGCTCTTGCTCTGCTGCTCAGGCTGGAGTGCAGTGGTGTGATCTTGGCTCACTGCAGCCTCAACCTCCTGGGCTAAAGCAATCCTCCCGCCTCAGCCTCCCAACTAGCTAGGACTACAGGCGCATGCCACCATGCTTGGTTAATTTTTGTTTTTGTTTTTTGGAGAGACCAGGTTTCACCATGTTGCCCATGCTGGTCTCTAACTCCTGGACTCAAGCTATCAGCCTGCCCTATTTTCTATTTTGTTTTACTATAAATACATATAATTACTGAGGTATGAAAACAAAAATTAGTTTTAGTTAAAAAATGCTTATTGCGTAAACTAATTTTCATAACTATAATTAATTTTTCTTGGCAACTGGATAAAGGTAAAAGGTCAAATCTTTCTATGTTATTTTACTAAAGAAAGAAGTGGTTGGAGATAGTCCATATAAATAAAATATTTCACTAAAATGTAATAAAAGTCTCAATACTCTTCAATGCTGTCAGTTAAAGACAGAGGTGCCCTAGATACAAAAGGAAGCAAAGCTCTCATTAGGCCTTTTACGTGGTGAAAGAGAAGCAGTCTTGAAAGGAACATCATGTGACATTCTAGAACTGAAAGAAATCAACTGACATTAAGAAAAATCAAATTAATGAAAGCAAAGAAGAAAAAGGAATTCCTAGAAAAAGATGTGTTTGCTGGACAGAGATGGGAGCAGGCGCCCTGTGCTGGAGGCTGGGGAGGCTGAGCTGGAGTGCACTTGTGCCAGCCACAGGCCGTCTCTGCTGTGCTGGGACAATGTGCTTTCTCTGCCAAGACATTTTCCCCAGGTCTTCCACGGTGGCCTCACCATGCAGCCTGCCGCTTAATAAACACCAGGCCAGGGAAGCCCCACATTGCTCTGAAGCCCTGCAAGGTTCTCTCTGTTCCAGTGCCCGGTTTGACTTTACTAACAGTGTTTACCACTATGTAACTGTTTCGTTTAAATGCTTATGCCTATCCCCTCCAATTAAGAAGAGGCCAAGGGCACTGGATGGCCTGCCCATTTGCTCTGTGTCAGCAGGGGCCGGTGCATCAGCTTTGACTATTTACTGACAACACTTACCTTGCTGCCTTGTATTGTTTCTTTCTTTTTTTGAGACAGAGTTTTGTTCTTTTGCCTGCCCAGGCTGGAGTGCAGTGGCACGGTCTCAGCTCACTGCAACCTCTGCCTCCTGGGTTCAAGTGATTCTCCTGCCTCAGCCTCTCAAGTAGGTGGGATTACAGGTGTGTGCCACCATGCCCCGCTAATTTTTGTATTTTTTGTAGAGACGGGGTTCCATCATGATGGCCAGGCTAGTCCCAAACTCCTGACCTCAGGTGATCCACCTGCCTCAGCCTCCGAAAGTACTAGGATTACAGGCGTGAGCCCCTGCGCCCGGCCAAGATAAAAAGCAATAGGATTGAATGTGAATAATACGCACTGTATTTTCCAAGTCTTACTTCAAACATAATCATTAAGGTTATTCTTCTGTAAATGAAATTTACCCTGCTAAAAGCCCTTATCCTTTTTGAAAAAAGACTGATCAAGAATATGTAGGATGATTCGCTAGAAGCACCCTTTGACTACTGCAGTAATGCCAAGAAGGCTGCGGCCCGGAGGTCTAGTGCAAACACTGAGTATAAACCAAACAGGACAGCAAAATGAAAGCAAATGTCGACTAAATAAAGCATGTAAGTGGATGGGAGAGGGAAGATGAGCTGACTTAAAATATTTTAAGGTCTTAGCATTGATTGAGAGGAGAGTAAAGATAAAGCTTAACTTTAAACTTTACTAAATATTATATATTAAATATGTAAAATTTCTAAGGAAACCACAATAATAGAAATATAGGGTATCACTTCAAGTTAAAAGAAAAAATGGAATTTAAAAAACTCCAAAGATTGCAAGAAAGAAAAATAAATATAGAAGTAAAACAAACAGCAAAAACAAGGTGACATAAATTAATGCAAATAAAGTATTAATCACAGTAAGTGTAAAGATGGTAGCATGGGATTTAAGAAAACACCACTACCACCTAGCTAATGCTGTTTATAAGAGATTTTCATTCACCAGAATAATAAGAGCTATTCTAAACCTATAGGCAACTAATAACATAGCCTCACTATGTATGTATATATATATATATATATATATATATATAGCTAGCTAGAATTCACAAAATGGCATGGGAAAATAGACAAATTCATTATTATGGTGACAGATTTGCACACTCTCAGTAACTAAAAAGTTAAGGAGTTTTTTAAAAAAAAGACAGTAAAGCACATACATGATATTAAAAATTAAAGATCAATCTAATGGATATTTATAGAATAACTTCATGTAAAAAAATATATATTTTTAAAGCACACATGGAATATTTATAAAATGACCATGTACCAATCCACAAAGCAAGTGGTAACGAAAACAACATGCTATGAGGCTCTGGAAGCAACTTGCAGGAGAAGAATCCCAAACACGTTCTGTGTCATGAAGCTCTAATAAAAATGAATGCATAACCTAATATAACCCAAAAAGCAGTATCTCAGAAGTGTCTATCAACATATTTTGGGAGTTGGAATACATTTGCTCCACAGGAGAAAAATACACCACCCTTGAGACAGGTTCTCAAGCTGGCACAAACATGCATATGTGCCCCTCTATGTGCCTTACGTGGAGCTACTGAGAACCAGAGACTCGACCCCATTCGTCAGAAGGTCTTTGAGTGAGCAAGGCTGCAGTGTCAGGAGGGGCTCACTGCAGCTCTAGGAGCAGAAGCAGCTCCTCCATCTGAGTCAGTCACTGCAGCCTGCTTTGCCTGAGACAGGCATTCCAGCTGGCAGAAACTAAGAAAAGCAGGTGAAATGTCTTATCTCCTCCTTCACTTGATGGCTAACCTATCTTCTCACACGACACTGGACAATACAACAATGGAGATTAGGGCTCATTCATGTGTATGGAGACAAAGGAGACTCTTGGGGAGTGGGTGGCATCAAATGGAGGAAGCTGGTGGAGAGAAGATGCAATGTGTGAAGGGCCTGGGATCAAAGTGAGTGCTTAGGCTGAACAACAAATGAGAACTACCTGAAGGACCATCACATCTGAAGAAGTAAATTCTGGCATGACAGTCAGATAAAAAAGGCAGGTTACTTTCTGGTTATAGTTTGTTTATTGCCACTTAGCCAGTGGGCGGGGGGTATTTTGAGGACAAAGATTGTGTCTCCAGAGTCCACCTGTGGCACTCAATACATGCCGGCACAAGAACTGTGACAATCTGCGCTCGGGTCCTCTGAGCAGGATGGGGCCTTTGTAATGGGTCCATTCAACAAATACTTACAGAGGCCCTACCACATCCCAAGCGTGCTCCGTTCTAGGTCCTAACTAGGACACAACAACAAACGGGACATACAAGGCCTCTATTCTCACAGGGCTTAGTGAGAAGAGAGAAACAGGCAACAAACAAGATGAATGTCATAGAGATCTACACAGAATTCAATAGGCTGCTATGATAGCAAGTGGCTGGCTGTTTCTTGGTCTGTACTGAGCAGACAAACGCAGCCTCTCTGAGGAAAGGTATTTAGGGTAAGAGCCGAGTGACAAGACAAGCCCAGCCATGGAATGATGAGGTAGAGGAGCACTGAAGCAGAGGACACAGCTAGGGTGGGAAGCAGCTGGCACATGGGGATAGCTGCAGTGTGGTGGGAGAGGAGAGCGGGGAAGCTGGGCCTTATTAGGTTTAATCCACAAGCCAGGCTGGAACAGCCATCTCTGCAGTCAGCTTTATGGAGTGCAGAAAATCTATGTCAGCAGCAAGTTACACAGCCGCAATGAGAAGTTGCTATTTGCTGCGTGCTCTCTGCACAGGCCTGGCCACCCGTGAACCAGCAACACCATGGAAGGCAGCATCCACAGGAATCTGTACTGTGACGGGCAGAAAGGAGGCTGATTTCCTACCTCTCGAACAGACTGGGTGAGAGCAACTGGATTCATTCCTGGTGACTGCCTGTGAGGGCAGTGCAGTGTGTACACATCCCAAGAACAGATTATAGCTCTGACTTTATGACGTAAGTAAATGGAAGAGACATCACCTTTTAGAGCAAATTTTGGAGAAAGCTGGTTTAGAAATAGAGATATCTTTCTCTTCAAAGTGGCTACATCCTTGAGCCTAAGCATTCTATACCGTTTTAGTCCATTCTCTGTTACAAAAGGTAGATATTCTAGATTCATACTTTATCCATCATTAGGTTTCAGTTGCTCATTCCTATGAAAATTTTAAATCATATATATTAAGAATATCTTTCTTAAAATATTTTAGAAAATAGTTTAAAATGGATTTATGTTTATATGGTAAAATATTAGTCTTTACATTAAATAGGCATCTAATATGAACTATTTATATTCCAATCTGTAGTTATAATATAGGTTAACATTCTGAAATGATAGTCCCTACTAAAACACAGCCTTAATATTTTATCTAACTTGACAGATATTAGATATATTAAACAGAACTTTAAAATGCCAGTGATTCCACACAGATCAAAGGGCACTGGACATTTAAAAGTCTATCAGCAAAAAACAAAACTAATTTTGTGAAATTCTGGTTTATGTTTCATCAGGAAATATCTTCTGATTGTTGAAGAAGACACCATCAACACATTCACTATCAGGAAAGTATGGCACCTCTAGATCATTCTACCGGCACTGATGACGTCTCCCCCAACAACATTTCCACAGAAGAATTCCTCAAGATTCCTCAGAACTTCTGGCTCCTACTTCTCTAGCTTTGTTTGGGTAATTTCTTTCATACTGAGAAAGATAAATTCAATAAAATCATACTCAATGAAACCAGACATTTGTTTTATTTTCATTTTTAAACTTACCTTATGGGAATGATGTAAGAAAAGAGGAGAAGGAACCGAAAAAGATTGCGGTACCATGGACCCACAAATCCTTGTAAGGTTACCATAACAATGGAAAGAGCAACTAAAGCCAAAAATAGCGCTTTCGTCAGCCGATTGAGTTCAAGGTCCAACAAACCAACCTGAAAGAAAAACACATAATACATGAACAAGCTAACCACAATGTCCCTAATATTATAAATCAGAATGCATGGTAGTGATGACATAAAAAAAAAACTTTAAAATTTATTGGTATTAGCCTTTATTATAATGAAATATGAAAATTCAGGCAGAATTTCTAGAAATGAATCATGATCCCCAGAGCATTTCCAGAAAGGGTCTACTGACAAAACACGGGCCAGAGCACACAGCCGCAGTGAACTCAGACACGGCCTCTGGAGGGTGGCGCGCTGGTCACCGGCTCAGGCAAAGTGAAACGCAAGCCTAGAGAAGGGCACTGGAAGCTTGCTCGGCGCGCAGCAGGGGAACACAGAGTTCTGAGGGCCCAGCCCGGGAACAGAGACTTCTGAGGGCGCAGGCGGGTCTTCCTTGCATGTGCTACGCCATGACCATGCCTCTGTTATCCGTGTGGGTGCCTCTGCACCTCCCCCATGAGGATTCTACTCAAGATGGAGAGTTCCCAAGAACAGGACAGTATGTATGTCTTTCCGATCTACCAGCAGTCTCTCTGAAAGAACTTGTCTTACAGAAAAAAAAAAAAAAAAAGCAATAGTTAGCTAGCTTAAAATAAAACCTTTTTAATTTGCACAGATCTTACATTGTGTGTTCTCCCAGTAAGGCACGCTACATGCAAGTCCATTCTATGGATCGTTTACCAGCTGAGCAAACTGTGAGGGCAAATTATGTCAATAAGCATCAGTTCAATTTTTTGGCTGCATTCTGTATAGGATCTTGGAAACAGAGAGAACTAGCAACCCAAGCAGCTCTCACTGCACAAGTTAAGAGAATACAGCTCTTCTGAAGCATGTAGCTTCAATTTCGAGCTCTAGCAATCGCTATGGACTGTTTCTCCTTGCTTGCTTTCAGCCCTGAAAGACCACAAGGCAGTCCAGTGAGTAGGGCTGGGGGAATGAGAGGGAACTCGGCGCTGCAGGAAGGGTGGGAGAAGTGACACAGCACAGCAACTAGGATTCCTCGGGACTCTGGATTTAGGCTAATTTAGATGCTGGCCCTGCCACTTAGCGGCATAACCTTGGGCAAGCTGGGCTTTGGTTTTCTTATCTGTAAAATAGGGATTCTGGGATGTTTTCCTTACAGCCCCCAGGGGATGCGAAGAGGGAGCGCATGGCACAGTGGCCACGGTTCCTACTGGGCAGTACGCCCCCCATGTGTGCTGCTACTGCTCTTACTACACACTTGGATTGGAATCCACTTCCTCTGTTTACTAAATGTGTGACTTGAGGAACACCCTTAAACTCTTTGTTAGACCTCGTTTTCCTCATCTGTAAGTGGTGGTACCCACAGGGCAGAGGTGCCAGGGTGAGAGGCCACTGCCTTTGGCATCACTAGGTCAGGGAACAGCATGTACTTAACTTACCTACTTATTTCTGATCTATGTGACATTAGCGGAAGACTAAATTCTATCAGGTTAGTTATCTATCTGCCATCTCAATTTCTCCTGAATCTGGAACAACTTTTGAAAAGGAGTACACAAAGAAAACATGACTGCAAAAAACCTGATTAAAAAAAATAAAGTTTGAGAATTACTGAGCTAATAAATAACTTGGTTTATTTTGTAGTGCCTTTTGAAAAATCTGCAACTTTGCCCAATAGAAAGCTAGCCTTTTCCCACAACTCATATATTTAGTTTATATCTGGTTTTGATTAATATTTTCCACAAACTCTCATGAGATCATCAGAACCTGCAGTTATCAAGCAAAAATAAAACTTTGTCAGAAAGTCCATTAAGTGCAGCTGCGAAGAAAAGTCAACTAATTAAACAAATAAATTGAAATGTCTACTACATTTTGTGCTAAACTCTAAGGTTATGAAAATAAGCTAACTATAAGATTTTACCTACAAGCTAATCTAGTAGGAGAAATAAGATGAACACCAGTGATCTATGTTATAAAACAGAATCATAAAATAGTAAGTTTTCTTTTCTAACCAGGCTTGTTTTAAATCACTTCCTGTGGCCGACAGTCAGCACTACCATCGGTTAATAAATACTTCATGGCCTTTCACAACAGTAGCGATGACAAGGACCCTAAAGCCATGGGACTGGTGTGCCGAGTGTGGGTTCCATGACCAACACAGACGGGATGCCGCATTCAGCGGGGTGGGGCGGCCCCTCCTGTGATCTGTCCTGCGCACACTGCCACAGGGCTCACTTGGCCACTTCACTGTGTAAGACTCCTGAGGACACTTCAAACACAAAGTGTCAGTTTTATATGAAATAGTGACTTGATTCTAATGTAACAATTAATGAGACACTTGGCCTGCCACAAAAACTCTTCTCCATGTTGCAATACAGCAACACAGACAGCAGCTCATTTTCAACAGAAACTCTTCAAAGACTGCACATTCCCAGCTCTATATTCTCCCAAGAAAGCACACTGCCCTCTAATTCACAGCAGCAGATCCCCTTCTAGCCAAGTAAAACGTCCACAGCAGCATCTCGGAGCTCCAGCATGGGGCTTTCTCTTCTCTGGGTCAGCCACAGTACCAGTAACAGCGCCGCTCCCCCAGATCACAAATGGTCGGAAAGGGAGCGGTACTCAACCAGTTCTGAAGTTCCCAACGCTGCTGCGGGTATGGGCTGTGCCTTCCCTTGAGAATGGGGCAGCTGAAGACCACAGCGGCTGATTTATCAGCTCTATTTAAAAAGCAGCACAACCAGGACAAATATCGTGCAATTTCCGCTACTTCAACTACTACATAGTTTATGCTTGAATTATTGAGAAAAATAGGTTTTTGGATTAAAATGAAGAAAAATTAAGCCAGGGAAGTAGAGCATGTTTCAAAGCCCAGATCCTTTTGCTGTGACAAAGGCGGTCTAAGTTTCAGGCCTCACTGAGGATCAGATGAAGTCATTATTCATTCACTCAGGGAAAAAAGACTCAATTACCTCAACCTAAAGATGCTATCAATGAATGCAAAGTGCATATTTTACTCTATTCATCCAAATCCCATTAAAAAGTGAAAGGAATGATTTAATCTGGCCTTCCAGAGTTGGTCTTTTTTTGTAATAAAATAAAGAATCACTGTCTTGCAAAATGCATAACCACCACCTCACACTTTCCCCTGCAACATAGCAGTGAGGAACTGTAAAAGCCAGGACAAAAACATTCAGAAATGAATACAAAGTTTCCTTTCAAAAAATGCCACGTATTGGATGGAAACATTCAAAGCCGCCCACTGCACACCGATATGCAGATCATCAAAGCATTATTACCTTTCTCATTGATGAAGACAGATGTGGTCAGATGCTTGACTAGTGAATGTAATCACTTTGAAGCCAAGTATATGTTGTCTTCTCCCAACCCCTTTAAACTTAAGAGCAATAAAACATTTAGTGGAATAAAATATAACTTTTCAAGGATGGGCTGTGCCTTGCAGGTGGCATTTTCTGAACTATGACTGTTGTTCCTGGAATATAACTTGTAACCAAACTACAGCATATAGTGTAAAGCTTGTAGGTTGCTTTTATTTTATTTTATTTTTTCAATTCTAACAAAACAGAAGAAAAGACACATTTCAACACTTGCATTTTTTTAACCCACTTCAATTAATAATCTTTTAATATTCAATTTCTCTGAAACATGCTTTTCTTCAACTGATCTAAAATACAATCTGAACTCTTATAAACTATTTAAAATAAAAACCAGTTAACTTATAAAGTTACAGATTCTATAAAGAAGGTGGTAACTTTAGTTTTGATGTGGATCTCTTCCTTCTTTAAAAAATGTCTTAAATACCTGGACAGACCAGATAACTTTTGCCATGACTGTAAACTTTTCACCCATAAAATATATTAATCACTTGAAGTAATTACGACTATTTAAGAAAAGGTAATGTAAATACACTTAGAAGTTATTTTCAACATTCATTGTCATCTCCTATATTAGTAAAGCAAATTTTCTTCTACTTGTCATAATATTTATTTGAAACAACTGCAATAACAAAATTAAATATGCTACTGCAAATTTTAATCTCCAAGGGAAAATTTGTGCATAATGTCTAAGACAACCACAATGATTCTGCAAAGGGGCTGTTCTAGGATAATGAACACAATAATTGCCTGTATAATCTAAAATGCTACTAATGGCAACGATCACAAATCCATTTAGCTCCTCTTTAATTTATGTACCAAGTTTTAAATAGCTAATGGTTCTCAGTAAAATAATGGTTTATACCAACAATAAAGGGTAAATACGGTATTCTCCTGCTTAATCAAGAAAAGATCAGGCTTTTTTTTTTTTTTAAATGAATGCTCGGACGAGTGAGAATCAGACCTTATCTCCATGACACAGCAACACTTCAAACCATCTCAAAATTAAAACTCACATCATACTACTAAGTTCCTAAGCAATCAATGTACACGGCAAATTGGAGCAGACGTCGAATGCTGTAAAGTCTCAGGCCCTATCCATGATTCAACAAAGTGCCTGTGCAACACTTACTGCTGATGATGTCACCCTGGGTGAACAGGATGTCGGCATCCAAACACTCTCACCCATCTTTTAAAACTCACGCGTACTTACCCCTTACAAAGAAGTAGTTTAGAATAGTAAAATGCAAAACTTCAAATAGCCAATTTAAACTCTTGCAGAAAACTAAATTATTTTAGTTTGTCCTGTAGTTTCCCTGTGAATATAGGACAATTTGAAAAGCCTCGACTCTGACACCCAATTCATTCATGCTACTCTGCACTAGCAGAGAAGAACAGCTTTGTACATGGCTGACTACGTACAGAAAAACACAACTGTTAACACTGCTTGTCTTTCATCAGCTGAACTATTTGTGGATCAGTTCTTCATTTCGAATTTGGACCCTGACTACAAAACTGATATAGGGCTATGCATTAACCTAACTGAAATTCCTATAAAAAGCATATTCTTTTAAGTATCTTTGAAACAAATAAGCCCTATATTTTCCACTGCTAGTAGAATCTTAAGAGACAAGAAAAAAATAAGTAATTTTCAGACCTTCATTTGTGTTTCTGCATTTCAAATAAATGAAACTCATGCACTAAATCTAAGTACTAAATTTTAGAGCAACAACTTTTCCATTACGAAGTTTAAATTAAAAGTATTAGTTTTTAAAAAGTGATGCTACATAGTCTTTTTCCTTCTGAAGTTTATTATTCTTTTTTGGATATGAACTACTAAGCCTTAAGTGTGTGTAGTACATGCAGGCTGACCGCACACT
This sequence comes from Homo sapiens, assembly GCF_000001405.40. Taxonomy (NCBI): domain Eukaryota; kingdom Metazoa; phylum Chordata; class Mammalia; order Primates; family Hominidae; genus Homo; species Homo sapiens. The sequence continues at coordinate 79,248,132 of NC_000018.10, read as the reverse complement.
ATAGATGTGGCTGAGCCATTATCGTTTATCGCCTCAGTGATCTGCGAAATAAGAAGGGTTTCTTTTGGCCATTATAGTCTGTTGGCTCAATAATCTGTGCTTTAAGAATTCCCTAAATAAGTATCAGCACAACAATTCTTAATGTTACAATTTATCACCTTAGTTCTTAAAAATCAAAACCTGTATTTACACAATAGACAATTTAAAGTCTATTCTGAAAGAATTATTTCATAACCTACATGTTTGCCTACCAAGAAATTTAACATTTTGCCTATTCTATACTCAGAATTTAAGCTTTTTCCCTTGCTTGCTATATAGTTATTATATAAAATGTTTTCCCTTGAACATTAACATAAAAAAGTACTATATTTTTTGTATAAATAAGAAAAGTATTAATGCAAGAATCAGCTACTAAACAGGGAAGCAAAACCACGTTTGAAACCAACATATGACACGTAATTAAGAGACAAGGGAGTTCAAAGTAAACCCTCACACCTAGTTTACACAAACTGGAGCTACCCAACTTTTGATGTTACAGACTATGCATATTGATTGTCACTCTGTCCGCCGACCTATATAAACATGTTTTTAAGGATAAAATTATTACTAAAATTTGCAAGCATATTACCTGCTAAGTTTGAAGGGGGCTTCATGAGTGCAGAATGAGGTTATCTTCTCAAACTGCTGGACTCCTAGATCGCTTGAGAAATGTCAATACTGGCTCTAGCATTTCCTAGGACACGTATCCACTCACCAGAATTTTTTATAATTGTCCATAATGTCAGAAAGTAGCATCATCTCTGAACACATGTATACACATATACACATCTCATGCTCGCCCTTACAAAACTCATGCTGACTGTCTACGTTCATACAGGACAACTGGATTCCATCTGTTAGTGTGTGGCAGCCTTTACTGATATATTAGAACCTTCGCAAAGTAAATCAATATATGAAAGGTCAGCACATGCAAAGCAACACAGTGGCTGGAAGGTAAGTAGTAAGTTAAAACTTTTATTTTTAGTATTATAAATTCTTTCAAATGTTCTCAACTTGTGATACATCAAAGCCATATTTAAAACAAAAATATGCATGTGATAACATGCAAAATGATCCAGAAACTATCTGGAAATTTAATTTTTGCTCTACGTATAGAAATTACGTTAAAAATCCAGCACTGAATATTAAGATAAGCCTATCCATTTTCTAATGTACATCATTCCTAATCTTATTTTACAATCACCACATTGTTTAACTGAAAATCAGGAGGAGGAGGAGGCTGAAGTGTAGGAGTCACTACACTGCCGATCACCGCTGCGGTGCTCACGTCTGTCTCAGAGTCATCTGTCTCAGAGTCGTACTCACACCTCCCATAGGCGGCTGGGAGGGGAAGCCAGGGAGCGCGGGGAGCGCGGGGCGCGGCCAGCAGGGGGAGCGCGAGGCCGGCGCGCGTCCTGATCCCTGCAGTCCCGCTCTCTGGAAAGCGCCAGCCATTTCTAACCCAACCAGTCCAGCACATCACATACACTCACTCATTTATTTATTTCTGACAAAAAGCGTTACCCTAAATTTATGTTTTGTCACGCAGAATGCTGGCCAGAATCTACATACTTGAACATCCTGGATTATGGGGGGTAGGAAGGGGGCCCTGAATAAAAATCTGGCATCTCGTAAGATGCCCTAATTTCAAGACAGGACCTCGGAAATGCTGTGCACAGTCAGTAGGGCGGTGTCCTCCTCACAGTCAGTAGGGCGGTGCCCTCCTCAGTCAGTAGGGCGGTGCCCTCCGCACAGTCAGTAGGGCGGTGCCCTCCTCAGTCAGTAGGGCGGTGCCCTCCGCACAGACAGTAGGGCGGTGCCCTCCGCAGTCAGTAGGGTGGTGCCCTCCACACAGTCAGGGTGGTGCCCTCCTCAGTCAGTAGGGTGGTGCCCTCCGCACAGTCAGTAGGGCGGTGCCCTCCTCAGTCAGTAGGGCGGTGCCCTCCGCACAGACAGTAGGGCGGTGCCCTCCGCAGTCAGTAGGGTGGTGCCCTCCACACAGTCAGGGTGGTGCCCTCCTCAGTCAGTAGGGTGGTGCCCTCCGCACAGTCAGTAGGGCGGTGCCCTCCTCAGTCAGTAGGGCGGTGCCCTCCGCACAGACAGTAGGGCGGTGCCCTCCGCAGTCAGTAGGGTGGTGCCCTCCGCGCAGTCAGTAGGGTGGTGCCCTCCGCACAGTCAGTAGGGCGGTGCCCTCCTCAGTCAGTAGAGCGGTGCCCTCCGCACAGACAGTAGGGCGGTGCCCTCCGCAGTCAGTAGGGTGGTGCCCTCCTCAGTCAGTAGGGTGGTACCCTCCTCAGTCAGTAGGGTGGTGCCCTCCTCAGTCAGTAGGGCGGTGCCCTCCTCAGTCAGCAGGGCGGTGTCCTCCACACAGTCAGTAGGGCGGTACCCTCCGCACAGTCAGTAGGGCGGTGCCCTCCGCACAGTCACTAGGGCGGTACCCTCCTCAGTCAGTAGGGCGGTACCCTCCCCAGTCAGTAGGGTGGTACCCTCCGCACAGTCATTAGGGCGGTGCCCTCCGCACAGTCAGTAGGGCGGTGCCCTCCTCAGTCAGTAGGGTGGTGCCCTCCTAAGGCTTTTCGAAGTTTCAGAGCTAAAAACTAAGTTGATAACATTGTAACAACAGCTTCCTTAATGATTTCAAGATCCTGAACAGATTTACTGTTTTTTTTGTCTTAATGTAGGAAGGCATCAATTTTAAATGGTTTTGCCAAGACCAGCCACCAATTTAAAATAATTCCTTCAATAACGTAAGCTACCCACTAACACCAGAAACCTCAACATGCAACATCATTCATAGAAGTGGCATTTGGTTTTCAGTCTAATACACAGTTTATTTGGGTAATTTTATATTTATTTTAACAAGTATTTTACAAAGAGCATGAACCTATTCTCTAACCCTTACTATCTAAACACACAATACCCAGGACTTTAGGGGGGTTATAAAGCTCTCATTGTATTTTACAAACAAGCCAGCAAGCTCTGCAGGAACTCCAAGAAGAGCAGATCCTGACAGTGGGGGGTGGGAGGTCACTGGACCTCAGGGTCCCTAGGAGCCCAGGAGTTCTGACTGCTTCATGCTTCTTTACAAGGCACACACTCAAATACTTCTTGCCCCAAAGCATATAAAAAATAGATTCTATTCTAATAATAACTCTAAGTGGTACTGATATTGTAAAAGAAAGTCTCTTACTAGGAGTCATAAAACTTTAAGAGACATGGTAAGAAAGGGAAGACCATGGCTTTCTTTAAAATGATTTAAAATACAGAGCACGCATCTCCTTTCATTTTCTCAGTCTGTTTCTAATAGTACACACTGAAGAGACTATGCTCCTTACAAATCTTTCTTCTGGGAGGTATCTGCCTTTTTATTTTACCCTGAATGTAGCAAGTCTTTATTTTAAATATCTCAGGGTAGGGTAGAAACACTCTTAAAATATACTTTTAAATATTCATTACAGTATAATTTACAAAATATGTTGCTGAACAAAAAATCTTGTGTAGTACTAAAATGTCATCAGATTCTATTAAAAACTCATGAAGAAAGTTACTAAATATGTGGTCAGGGCTTCTAATGTCACAGTATTCCGAAATTCCCAAGCACAAGGTCTGTCTTTCCTTCAAAGAGCTTTGAACTCTTTTCAAGGAGCTTAAAAAAAAAATTAGTTGATGCGTTTCTAGTGTTCAGAATGTGAGATATTGAAGAAATTATTCCAGTAAGTACCTTGGAAATGTTGGGCCATAGATGGTGGGAAAAGGCTGTGATTCAGAAGAGAAAAATAGATGGGACCATTCCTTTCCACAAGCAAAGTGAGTCCTTGCAAATGTAGGTGCACAGGAGGGCAGGGGGGTGGCCCAGCAGACAGGCACCAGCCTAGCCCTCCTTCCATGGAGCCTGCCTGGAACATGGCCATGAAAACTGTGTTTTTAAAGAAACTGCGGAGAATAGAGGGGGCGGAGGGGGGGTAGTGGGGAGACTACTTTCCACCTGCTTATTTCTCTTATAAAATTTTAGAAAAGAGAATGGTTAAATGATTATTAGTAAACAAGATCACTAATTTTATAATTAAAACTTTAATTTCCAACTTAGATTATCTTTATTAAGAGGTAATGATACAGATTAGTTTCTACAGTAAAGTGAGAAATTTCTTCAGTAATTAATTTCAAAATGTTGGCATCCGAATTCTTGCTTTGGCATGCCAACAAGTATAACATATTTAATGGTTTGTGCAAGGGAATTTACTAAACAGTATCAGTGAAAAACATTTTTATGTGAGATTCCAGAAAGTCTGGTTTCATTAAGGCTACTTGAAACACTAAACATAGCATTTGAAGTTGCTAATTGTTCTTCTAACAGTATCTTAGAAACCACCACAAAATGACAATGATCAGGAAAATTCCTTAATGCTTAAGTGCTCAACTGTGGTCCAGCTGACTTCAGCATGTTTCCACCACCTTGATAACCTACATACAGGTGTATCAGAATCAGCACAGAAGAGATGTTACAGGACCTAGTCAAGGACACAAGGCTGTCACTGTCAAGTAACATGTCACACTCTCCTTCTGTGTTTCTTGGCTTATTGTGTAAATATGTGGGGATTTATAAGCCACTGGAAGATCTCCATCCCATTCTCCAGATATCTGGCACCTACCACTATGTAAAACTACTCAACACTATTTTTAAATCAAGAGCCATTAGCTGTCTTGACAAGACGTATGACTAAAATATTTGCTGATCAGAACTACAATCAGTATTCTATTTCATTCCCCTTGCAATTAAATGCATATTCACCTATTTATAATTATATTAAAAACATGAGGATATATAAAATGCTGACCAATGTCTGAAACACCTCAGAATTACTATCATCGTGAACAAAGTCACTAGGTTCTGTACATTTTCTGTTCCGCCCACACATCTGCTTAACTAGCTATTAACCAGAAGCTAATAATAGGTAAACGTTTTAATTTTTAAGGCAGAATAGCAGAATTGCAGACATAGAATAGCAAAGAAAGAGAAAGAAGAATGAAGGATAGTTATAGCAGTCTAATAGCTAACTTTGAATTACATCGTTTTCAAAAATCCATGGTTGTTAGGATTTGTATTCTTTTGTAAGGAAAATGAACTGGCAGATTTGCTGAGAATTTTAAATGATAAAGGTAATATGGTTAAATAAACTTTTCATCTTGCATAATCACCCTTTTATTATTAAAACTGTCTAAGAGGTTTATTACTGGTATCTTGGCAAAATGCAACATTATTTTAAACCATCTAAAATTTTTGTGTTACTTTATGTCTTCAGAGACACTTTATGAGCCATTTCATACTTAATGGCTTGTAAGCAATCCCAAGAGTTGAGAATTGTGTAAAAAGTTGCTCAGATTGACAGATAAAGTGAAAAGGTCTGTATTAATTTCCAAATAAAGAAATGCATGGCGTGGTATCACACGATGATTATACTCCAAAGTACCAATTAGAACGCATCAGAAACTAGAGCAAGTTGACACTCTACAATAAAGCAAATAATTTCCAGTTGGAGGGGCAGAAAATGTTAATATGCAATGTTCAAGACTACAAGAATCTTTGTAAAAGGAAGTAGCTAATAAGGTTTAATGATGCATGTCAGGAAGCCACAGTATGTAGGGAAACACAGCTGGCTTCATTTTGTAAACTATTTGATATACACATCTTTCTCGTTTGCGGTTATCAGCTGTGCAGTGCCACGGGGGACAGTTTAGACTTCAAATCAGGATATTCTTCTTGTTCTCTAAATTACAAGTAAAATACATTAATATAATATGGTGCTATAGGCTAGTGCCCTGACTATGGCTTATCAGTTTACGAAAGAGGATTAAAGAAGTCTTCCGTAAAATGTTGTGGAAACAATCTTGCCAGCCTAAACAGGCTACTAAGAATGAGAACCATTAAAACAAATCATAAAACAGACAAAACGCTTGGATTTAGCGAATTAATAACCCTCGCAAAATGGTCACCATTTTTCATACCTCAGGCATTAAAATAAAAACTGGCTGAAAATGCTCCTGCATGAGACCACAGGCCCACGGCGGTGCTCCCTCTCCTGCACACACAGGTGGGCCCAAGGAGGGGCCCGCTCTAAAGGCAGCAGCATCCCAGTGCTGAGGGACTCCAAAGTGCAGGTGACAGCAATTAGCAGCAGATGACAGCAGCCCTTGAATCTGTGCCAGATGGCAGCGAAGGGTCACTGGGAGCCATCAACCTTCCACAAGGAAGCCCTTGTGTTTGGCGACTATCAAACTCTAAAGCTCTTAGAAACAAACTAATTATTCAGCCAGCAGAAGACAACTGCTAGGTCACAACACTAATATCAGAATACCATTAAAGCACTTAGAGTGCACTTATTCTAAATGTAATTACACATATTAGCTGATAAAAACAGGCATGCTGCATAATGACGAAAAGGTTGCCCTAAACTCAAGGAGCTAAAATTCTAGTAATTAGTGAATTGTCTTGTGGCAAAATACAGTCAACAGGTTCTAACTTTGGATGAATGCTGCTTGTAGTTAGAGCTAGAAACAGCCACTTTCTAAGTGAGACTCTGTATGGAACCTGATCAGCACCCTGGCTGACGACGGAGGCCAGAAGAACCACAGAGAAAGAACGACATCTCTCAAGACAGACGATAGAGAAGCTGTGGGTCCTCACACTACGGGGGATCTAAGAAAAGCTTGAAAATCTCAGAGTCGTTTGTCAAGACTTCCTGCTCAAATGTTAAGTATCACCCTAGGTAGCGAGGCCATAACAGAGGAGGGGCAGCAAGAGAATGGAAAGGCTGCGGAATTCTCACACGGGACAAACCCATCTGTCCATGTTCTACACAGAGAAAAAAACGCAGTCAAAATGCTTGAGACAACCAAAAAAATCAATGCATAACTGATTTACCTTGATGAGACTAACTCCACACTAATAACTAATACATAAAACAGCTTAAGTTTTGGTTTAAATTTATTAACAAATTATAAGTGATTCATTTTTCCACCCTCATGACCACAAGCAGCTTACAACCCAATAGCCCTTTACAATTAACAAGTGCTGCTGTGTAATGTCTGTTATTCAGCCTTCCTAACTCTGCCAGGTCTTACTATGTCTATTCCACTTCTAAGGAGGTTAGGTGTTTGGTCAAGAACACACAGCTCATGGCAGCTTGGAGACCGAGCAGCTCCCCGTCCCCAACTTCAGTTCTGCATCCTTGGCCCGACACTGCCAAATGCCAAGGTTCCCAGGGCCCACTAGTATGCTTTAGAAGTGACATTATTTTTATTCTCAAAATTGGATGTCTCTGGTTGAACCTTCTTTTTCTGTTGTTTTTTGAGGCGGAGTTTCGCTCTTGTTGCCCAGGTTGCAGTAAAATGGCACGATCTCGGCTTCACCGCAACCTCCACCTCCCAGGTTCAAGCGATTCTCCTGCCTCAGCCTCTGGAGTAGCTGGGATTACAGGCATGCACCACCACACCCAGCTAATTTTGTATTTTTAGTAGAGACGGGGTTTGTCCATGTTGGTCAGACTGGTCTCGAACTCCTGCCCTCAGGTGATCCGCCTGCCTCAGCCTCCCAAAGTGCTGGCATTACAGGCGTGAGCCTGTGTCCGGCCAGAACTTTCCATTAACTACTCAAACTTCCATTAGGCTCATGAAATAAAAACAGGTTGAATTTTCTTTATCAAAATGTTTCTCTTTTACTATTTTTATTTGGATGTGGTAAAGCTCATGAAATAAAACAGGCTGAATTTTCTATATTAAAATTTTTTTCTTCTACCATTTTCATTTGGATGTGATAAAACTTCCTGCTCAACTGGTATCAATTACTGCCCTTCGAGAAAAGGAGAAGAGACTACATGAAATAATTTAATGTTGTAATCCAAATGACCTACCAAGGCAGTAGGCCCTTAACAGAGGGGAATATTGAGTCCAGCAAAGTCACTGAGGACAATGCCCTCACCTCACTTCGCCAGCTTCTACTGGAGCTTTCTAGCTGGAGGGCTCTCCTCCTGTGCTACCAAAGTGGGCTGCGCTGAGAACACTCTGGAGGGTTCCAGAGAGCGCAGGCAAGCTTGGGACTGCAGCTCTAGGAAGAGACCGCGGGTGTGGGGCCCCTGAGGCGTGGTGATCTGCTGGTCACCGCTGATGGGGACGCAGGCAGAGCAAGCCTCTCCGCTCATCCTTTGGGAACGCTTAGCCCTCAGGAACCATGCTCTCCCAGCCACATTCAGATGCCTCTTCAGTAACGCCTCCGTGTAATAATTAACTGATGATCAACCGCCCTCACAAAACAATGCTCTCGAGAAAACAGCAAGGTGAGAAAACACATTACTCCTAAAGGACTATCATGTAACTTACATGAAAGAAATTTACATGATAAAAGAAACTGCAGTCAAGTGCCTGAAATAAGCCCTGGTCCTCAGCTACCTCTTGCACAATGATGCATGCAGGGAAGCTGATTTTTCTTCCATTTCTTTTTACAAGCAGCATGGCACAATGCTAGACAATGGCGGCACAATGACTCCAGGTTGAAGGAAATCATCCTCTGAAGACAATTTTAAGTGCCGTGACACCATCGTCCTACGTCCCTGTCCCTGCCACAGCAGACTTGGCTGGCGGTGCTCATACCACAACCCACTCTGGGGCTTGGTTTTATGAGGATGGTTTGTGTACCTCCATGGGTGGGCTCACAGTGTCTGCAAGAAACACCATCATTTAATTTGGTTTGTTGTAAATTCCCAACCTCTCTGTTTTGGTTTCAAGATGCAGCACTTGTCATGAATTGTGGAGCGGTGGAAATAAGAGGGCTGAAGGGGCACACGCGGTGGTCCACAGTCCACAGTCCACCAGGGCCAGGCCCTGTCTCGCCCCAGACACCTCCCTGCATGCTTTCTGCAGCTCTTTCACACCATCCCACCTTGGATCTGGGCACATCTGTTCTCTGCCTGAGACGCCATCCTTCCTTCCCAGTTGACCCCGTTGTTTTGATGACTGGGGGTTGGGGCTCAGTGGCTGGAGGCTCTCCTTGAGCCTGCCTACCTGAGGCATGAAGCAGAGAAACAGTAACTGCTAATTTCAGTGCCAGTTGTGACCGTCTTCTCGTTCTTACTGACGTGATAAAAATATACCTATTTCTCCTTTGACCTGACTTGGTTCTTTCTGATTCTCCCACTTACTCTGAAATCTAAGCAGTGCGTCTGCGTCACTGCATCCGCTTCACTGCGTCCGCGTCACTGCCCATGTGGCCACTGCAGATATTTCCCTCTTTGGAAATCTATTAGCGGTTCCTCCATGATCACCACAGATCACCACCCCAACAGCAGGAGGAGGAGGAAAATCATACTCGCTGCCTGTCCATAGCTCGAGTTAGGGTAGAGACAGGAAGCGTGAAATCCAGGGCCCAGGACAGGCCGGGGCGCCACAGGCTGTGTCCACAGCTGCCGAGACAGCAGGGCCCACCATGGCGAATTGAGGAGAGCGCAGAACGGGGCTGGAGTAGGGTCTGAATCGCGATGACCACCTTAAGAGCCATCACCCTCCCAAGACCAGGGAGTACACGGAGGGGGCACAGAAATGGAGAAGCAACCTGGTCCTCAGAGTCCAGCTACAGCCCGGCCGGAACAGCAGCAGCCCACGCTGCTCCCAGGCAGGGGCCCTGCACATGCTCCTGATGTGTTCCTGGCCTGCACCGGAGACGTGATGCCCACAATCACCACCTCACGTAAGCCCCGGAACTGACCTCCCCACAGCCTTGAGATGACAGCAGCATTCGGACAACAGCAGTCACGAGATTATTGTGGAATTAGTTGCCAATGTTCTCATTCAAAAAAAAAAAAAAAGGATCACTTATCCAGTCATGGTAAATTTCAACATGACAGTACTCAACATCTGATTAGGATCTGTACTTAAAATGCAGAGTATATGAACTCAACATTTTTATTGTAGGCAATCAATTTGGAAATAAAATGCTTTCCTACTTTTAAAAATAAAAATACATCACCAAAATTTTTTTTTTATTTTTAAATAGCAGCAAACAGAATATAAAATTTTCTAAAAGATAATAATTGAAATAGCATCAAAAAATGTCAAAGCCAGGCACAGTGGCTCACATCTGTAATTCCAATACTTTGAGAAGCCATGGCTGGAGGATCACTTGAGGCCAGGACTCTGAGACCAGCCTAGGGAATACAGGAGGCCCAGTCTCTACAAAAAAATAAAAAATTAGCCAGGCATGATGGCATGTGCCTGTAGTCCCTCCCAGTTACTCAGGAAGCGGAGGTGTGAGGATGGCTTTGGCCCAGGAGGTTGAGGCTGCAGTGAGCAGTGATCATGCCACTGAAATCCAGCCCAGGTGACACAGTAAGACCTTGTCTTCCCCCACCCCCCCCCAAAAAAAAAAAAGTCAAATACTTAGAAATAAATCCAACAAAAGGTATACCAACCTCTACAGAGAACAATCATAAGACATTATTGAAAAATAAAGGAATACACAATATTCGTTGACTAAAAGACTTAATATTATAAAAATTAATTATCTCTGAAGATCTATAGACATTTAAATGCAATCCCTAACTCCCTACAGCAATTAAAAATTATTAGCAAAGAAAGGGATCAGCAGACCAATCACAGGAAAGGGCCCAGATGTGCACCCACTGTGCGTGGACACTGACTCATGCACAGACCGTGTACACAGTGGGGAAGGGGCAGGTGTGGACACTGACTCGTGCACGGACCGTGCACACAGTGGGGAAGGAGCAGGAGTGGACACTGACTCGTGCACGGACCGTGTACACAGTGGGGAAGGGGCAGGTGTGGACACTGACTCGTGCACGGACCGTGTACACAGTGGGGAAGGGGGAAGGGGCAGGTGTGGACACTGACTCGTGCACGGACTGTGTACACAGTGGGGAAGGGGGAAGGGGCAGGTGTGGACACTGACTCGTGCACGGACCGTGTACACAGTGGGGAAGGGGCAGGTGTGGACACTGACTCGTGCACGGACTGTGTACACAGTGGGGAAGGGGGAAGGGGCAGGTGTGGACACTGACTCGTGCACGGACCGTGTACACAGTGGGGAAGGGGCAGGTGTGGACACTGATTCATGCACGGACTGTGTACACAGTGGGGAAGGGGCAGGTGTGGACACTGACTCGTGCACGGACTGTGTACACAGTGGGGAAGGGGGAAGGGGCAGGTGTGGACACTGACTCGTGCACGGACCGTGTACACAGTGGGGAAGGGGCAGGTGTGGACACTGACTCGTGCACGGACCGTGTACACAGTGGGGAAGGGGCAGGTGTGGACACTGACTCGTGCACGGACCGTGCACACAGTGGGGAAGGGGCAGGTGTGGACACTGACTCCTGCACAGACCGTGCACACAGTGGGGAAGGGGCAGCCTTTCGACAATCACTTCTGGGTCAACTGGAAATCCACATAGGGGAAAAACAGAAAACTGGGTCCCTACTTCTTCTTATATACAAAAACCAATTCTAGATGTTTAGAAATGTAACAGAAAGGAAACAATAAAACTTCAGAAGACAATATGAGAGAGTATCTTCATGACCTACAGTGCAGAAATAGTTCTTAAACCATAAAAAAAAAAGGTTGATAAACAATGTTACAACTGAGAGTTGCTACTCATCAAAACACTATGAACAAAGTGAGAAGGCAACCAGCAGAGTGGGAGAAAATAACCCGGATATACAAAGAGCTCCTATACAACAGCCAGAAAGACTAACAATCCAATGGGAAAATGAGCTACGACTTTCATAGGAAATTCCCAAACCAAGACGTCCAGACACCCATGCCGATAAACACAGGAACAAACCTCATAATTCATCCAGAAAATGAAAACTAAAAACCCAATGAGATATCACCACATACTCACTAGAATGCTAAAATTAAAATAACGTAAGATAGACACTACAAGTGTGGACAAGATTATAGAGAAACTTGAGTTCTCTTGCTTGGCTGGGAAGAGTAAAAACCAGTACAACAATTTTAGAAGACCGGAATTATGTGAAATGAATACAGACACGCTATACGACCCAGGAATACCACTCGCTCGGTACACACCTTACAGGAGGCATGCAGACTGCACCAAGAGATCTGTATACACCATTCAGAGCAGAGGAATTCCTAAGAGCAAAAAGCCCAAAGAACCCAGAGATCAAAGATGTAGAAATCCGTGGCTGCATACAATTATGGCTTCCTCATATAACAGAAGACGATATAAAAATGTGCTGTGACACACAACGATGGGAAACTTCACATATGCCTATGACTACACACTAGATAAGAAGACGGTGGTCACCTTGGTGAGGAAGGGACACTCCCGGGAGCTGGGAGAATTCTACTTCACTAGATAAGATGGTGGTCACCTTGGTGAGGAGGGGACACTCCCGGGAGCTGGGAGAATTCTACTTCTTGACAAGTGTGACGCACCATGAGTGGGTGCTCGTTTTATGATGTTTAACTGAGCAGTACAAGTTTTAAAACGTGTGCACTTTTGTTCATCACTGTTGTCAATAATATAAAAAACAAAAACCAAAAAGTGTCACAGAAAACAAGTATTATAATTGTTATTACGCAAAATTCAAATACTGACCGTCAATAATATAAAAAACAAAAACCAAAAAGTGTCACAGAAAACAAGTATTATAATTGTTATTATGTAAAATTCAAATACTGACCAAAAGCTTCACAGCTGAATGGGAGTCTAGTTTATATTGCTCTATGGCTTACGATAGAAAGTGTTAGTAATATGATATGTGGAGGAAGGTTATTTTACAAGAGAATTAAATTGGAGTAAAACTGGACTTAATGTCTTATAAGCTACAAAATAAAGAACATTTCTGAAACTTCAGAAAATGAGAGACTGATGAAGTTATATACAATAAGGCCAGGCACAGTGGCTCACACCTGTAATCCAACCCAGCACTTTGGGAAGCTGAGGTGGGCAGATCATCTGAGGTTAGGAGTTCGAGACCAGCCCGACCAATATGGTGAAACCCCATCTCTATTAAAAATATAAAAATTAGCCAGGCATGGTCATGGGCACCTGTAGTCCCAGCTACTCGGGAGGCTGAGACAGGAGAATTGCTTGAACCCAGGAGGCGGAGGTTGCGGTGAGCCTAGACTGCGCCACTGAACTCCAGCCTGGGTGACAGAGTGAGACTCCATCTCAAAAAATAAATAAATAATATGCAATAAGCTTATAATACAAACATTTTTATAAAAGCTGAACCAAGGAAATCTTATACATAGAGCTGAACGTGACAATAAACCAAATACCGTCCGTTGATTATCTCCCTAAGCCACACAAACCCATGGTCGAAACCGCAGCCACAGCAGCAAGCCCACAGCAAGCATGCTTACAGCAGCACACCCACAGCAGCACACCCACAGGAGCACACCCACACGAAGCACGCCCACAGCAGCACACCCACAGCAAGCAGGCCCACAGCAAGCAGGCCCACAGCAAGCACACCCACAGCAAGCAAGCCCACAGCAGCACGCCCGCAGCAAGCATGCCCTGTAGTGGCGGAGCTGGCCGTGGATGTCCCTGCAGAACACGCAGGAAGAAGTCTCGTGGAGCAAAGGCAGCGATCTACCTTCAACATGACAGATGAATGCAAAGAAAAGGTGTGGCTGCACCTGCACGGGTGTAAATGTGTGTGCAGGAGCACACGCTGACACACACCTCACTGCTCATGGAACTCGGAATGGGAAAAAGGTCAACGGTGAGAGGAATTTCACATTCTAAATTTCTAAATTATTTGAATGTGTTAAATCCAGAAGTTTTTCCTTTCATAAAGTTAAAAAAACCCATGTTTACCATTTATTTCTGGATTCTGAAGGCCTCTAGCCTCGTCTAAATAAACTGCCCTCTATATTCCCCCAGTCTAATCAGAACCTTCCCTACTCGCTCCCTCCCACTCTTCCTGTAACCCTGTTCCAAGATTGATGTATCCACTCTTGTTTTCACCAGCACTTACCTGTAGTTGACCCTTGAACAACAAGGGTTTGAACTGCAAGAGTCCAAGGAGGGAGCAAGACCAATCCTCCTTCCTCCTCCTCCTCAGCCTACTCAATTGGAAGACGATGAGGATGAAGACCTTTATGATGATCACGTCCACTGAATGAAGCGTGAATATAACTTTTCCCTCTTATGATTTTCTTAATAGCATTCTTTTCTGTAGTTTACTTTATTGTAAGAATACAGTATATATTTTACATACAAAATGTGGGTGAATTGACGGTCTGTGTTACTGGTAAGGCTTCCAGTCAACAGTAGGTGATTAGTAGTTAAATTTGGGGAGAGTCAAAACTTATGCGTGGATTGTTGACTGCACAGGGGTCAGCACTTCTAACCCCTCTGCTGCTCATTGGTCAACTGTATTTCCTTGTACCCTATTCCTCCTGTTCATCAACATCTGTAACGACACACCTAAGCCCCACCTCTCGTGAGGGTGGCCTCATGTGTGGGGTCTGGGTAATTCACTGTGACAGGAAGTGTCATGCGTGTGCCTTTCCCAGGCCAATGCTTTTATTTTCTCTGGCTCTTTTCAAGATTCTCTCTTTGCCTTCAGTGTTTTTGTAGTTTGAATATTATACACCAGGGTGTACATTTTATGGCATTTAACCAGCTTGGTGTCCTCTGAGCTTCATGGATTTGTGGTCTAGTGTCTTGGAAAGATCTCAGACTTATTACTTCAAATTACTCTGCTCTATTCTTTCTTCTCCTCCAGGTATCCCCATTATACATAGTTGTATCTTTTTTTTTTCTTGAGACAACACCTCTGTTGCCCAGGTGGAGTGCAGTGGCATGATCTCGGCTCACTGAAAGCTCTGCCTTCCGGGTTCAAGTGATTCTCCTGCTTCAGCCTCCAGAGTAGCTGGGATTACAGGTGTGCGCCACTTCACCTGGCTAATTTTTGTATTTTTAGTAGAGATGGGGTTTCACCACGCTGCCCAGGCTGGTCTTGATCTCGTGGGCTCAAGCAATCTGCCCACCTTGAACTCCCAAAGTGCTGAGATTATAGGCGTGAGCCACCGTGCCCGGCCACATATTTTTATCTTCTGAAATTGTCCCACAGTTCTGGATGTTTTGTTCTTTTTATTTTTCCATTTTGACTCTTCTTGCTTCTTAGTTTGGGAACTTTTCACTAGCCTGTCTTTGGGCTCACTGATTCGCTCCTTGGCCACATCTGTCTACAAATAAGCCCTTCAAGGACATTCTTCATTTCTGTTACCATCATTTTGGTTTCTCGCATTGCCTTTTGATTCTTTGGGTTTCCATCTCTGATTACAGTTATCTCTCCGTTTTCGCGAGTTGTCTACTTCTTCTATTCCAGCCCTTAACATGTGCATCACAGTTCTTTTAGATTCCCTATCTGGTCATTCCAAAAATCTGCGTCATACCTGAGTCTGGCTATGATGCTTGCTTTGTTTCTTCAGACTGCTTATTTCCCACCTTTTAGCATATCTTGGAATGTCTGTTGAAAGCTGGATATGATGTATGAGATAATAGGAGCTGAAGTAAACAAGCCTTTAGTGTGGGGCTTTATGTTCATCTTGCCAGGAGCTGGTCTGTGTTCAATGTCTGCTGCAGCTGTAGGTGTTAGGGGCTGCCAATTCCTCTCATGTCCTTGGTTTTGCCTATGCCCCTGACTTTGGGCTTTCCTCAGAGATTCTACACCTTGCTGCTCTTTCACAGAGAACTCATGTTTATCACACTGAGCCCTGATGGTGTGCAGACAAGGTGTGGGGAAGGAGGAGCATGCTACAATCTTATGATTAAATCTCAGTTTTTTAATGGGTCTGTGCCCCTGCACTCTACCCTTCACAAGTGTTTCTCAGCTCCCCCCATGATATCCCATGCCATTAGTGAGACAGGAAGACTAGAGGGGGTTGGAGTGAAAGAATTCCTTCCCCCAGGTGGGACAGACCTGGTAAGGTCTTTTCCCCTGAGCAATGACCCTCTTTACAGAAGGTCATCACCAGAGTAGTGTACACTGTATCCAGTGTGTAGTCTTTCATCCCTCGCCCACCTCCCACCCTTTCCCCCAAGTCCCCAAAGTCCATTGTGTTATTCTTATGCCTTTGCATATTCATAGCTTAGCTCCCACTTATGAGAACAGATGATGTTTGCTTTTCTATTCTTGAGTTACTTCACTTAGAATAATGGTCTCCAATTCCATCCAAGTTGTTTTAAATGCCATTATTTTGCTCCTTCTTATGGCTGAGCAGTATTCCATGGTGTGTGTGTGTATATATATATATATATATATATATACACACACACACATTTTCTTTATCTACTCGTTGATTGATGGGCATTTGAGCTGGTTTTATATTTTTGCAATCGTGAATTGTGCTGCTATAAACGTGTGTGCAAGTGTCTTTTTTGCACAATGACTTTTCCTCTGGGTAGATACCCAGTAGTGGGACTGCTGGATCAAATGGTAGTTCTACTTTTAGTTCTTTAAGGAATCTCCACACTGTTTTCCATAGTGGTTGTACTAGTTTACATTCCCACCAGCAGTGTAGAAGTGTTCCCTGATCACCACATCCACACCAGCATCTACTATTTTTTGATTATGGCCATTCTTGCAGGAGTAAGATGGTATTGCACTGTGGTTTTGATTTGCATTTCCCTGATAATTCGTGATGTTGCACATTTTTTCATATATTTGTTGGCCATTTGTATACCTTCTTTTCAGAATTGTCCATTCATGTCCTTAGCCCACTTTTTCATGGGACTGTTTGTTTTTTTTTCTTGATGACTTGTGTTCCTTGTAGATTCTGAATATTAGTCCTTTGTCAGATGTATAGGTTGTGAAGATTTTCTTCCACTCTGTGGGTTGTCTATTTACTCTGCTGATTATTTCTTTTGCTGTGCAGAAGCTTTTTAGTTTATGTCGCGTCTATCTATCTGTCTTTGTTGCATTTGCTTTTGGGTTCTTGGTCACGAAGTCTTTGCCTAAGCCAATGTCTAGAAGAGATTTTCCAATGTTATCTTCTAGAATTTGTATGGTTTCAGGTCTTAGACTTAAGTCTTTGATCCATCTTGAGTTGATTTTTGTATAAAGTGAGAGATGAGGCTTCTACATGTGGCTTGCCAATTAACCCACCACCATTTGTTGAATAGGGTGTCCTTTACTCGCTTTATGTTTTTGTTTGCGTTGTTGTATATCAGTTGACTATAAGTATTTGGCTTTATTTCTGGGTTCTCTATTCTGTTCCATTGGTCTATATGCCTGTTTTTATACCAGTACCGTGCAATTTGTCCTTTTTGCTTAGTCTTGCTTTGGCTATGCGAGCTCTTTTTTGGTTCCATATGAATTTTAGGATTTTTTTTTTCTAGTTCTGTGAAGAATAATGGTGTATTCTGAGGAGAATTGTATTGAATTTGTAGATTACTTTTGGCAGCATGGTCATTTTAATAATATTGATTCTACCCATCCATGAGCATGGGATGTGTTTCCATTTGTCTGTGTCATCTATGATTTCTTTCAGCAGTATTTTGTAGTTTTCCTTGCAGAGGACTTTCACCTCCTTGGTTAAGTACATTCCTAAGTATTATTTATTTATTTATTTGCAGCTTTTATAAAAGGGGTTGAGTTTGTGATTTGATTCTCAGCTTGGTCACTGTTTGGTATACAGCAGGGCTACTGATTTGTGTACATTAATTTTGTATCCTGAAACTTTGCTGAATTCATTCACTAGTTCTAGGAGCTTTTTGGATGAGTCTTTAGTGTTTTCTAGGCATACGATCATGTCATCAGCAAACAGTGACAGTGTGACTTCCTCTTTACCAATCCGGATGTGCTTTATTTCTTTCTCTTGTCCGATTGCTGTGGCTAGGACTTCCAGCCAAGGAAACTTCCATTTTATTATTGAAAACTAATATTACGGTGTTAATACTAAATTTATATATTTTTATATTCTCTGAACTACTTGTATCATTTTAAGGGGGAAAATAATTAAACTACACTTTATTCAGTCTTAGCACTTACACAAAGATCTTCCCTGACATATCTATAAATTTCATTTTATAAAAAGTAGATTCAGATATTGAGTTCCTTTTTTTTTTAATGCACTAAACTCAGTTTTAAGACAAAAACAGGACATGTAGTTACAACCTAGCATGTCAAACATCCTTAAAATGATTCAAAGTGTATATTAAATGAAATTATGCAAATACAAGTAACACAGATACTTTAAAATGTTCAAGAATCCATTTAATTTTGTTTCAGCTTATTAGCATCCATAAATTATCTTTAAAATTGTTATGATTTTTTATCCAGAAAGCTAAGGTTTAAGAATGTAACTTGAAAGAGAAATGATGACTGATTAAAGAATGCAAGGAAACTTGGCAATCTGGTTTTCTTCTTGCATCTAGAAACACGCAGCAGTAACCTGACGTGTCTGTGAAGACAGCAGAGCGCCTGCGCCTCTGGAAACACACCATCATCTGCCTCTCTCCAAAGGACGGGGGAGACGCCTCATGTGAGATGGAAATTAAGCCTCAGAAGCAGTCATTTTTCTTTATATTGTTTGGAATTAAAAACATATTAAATTGATCCATTATGAAAATTCTGCTCTCTATACTGTGTGTTTCAGACCATGTCTCTGTCTTAAGGCTATGAAACAATTTTTGTAATTGTAATAACAAAACAAATTATTGACTTTAACTTAAGAAAACTGTTGCCTGAATGACTGAATATTCAACCAAAACAGATCCCTCCCTAAATTGTATCATACACAAGCTGCTCATTTCCACAGGTTAATGAACCTTATGTGGTACCGTTATATTTGATTTGCTTTTTGTTGGGGTGGGAGAGTGCCCAGGGTGCAGTTTTAGTAATTACATAATTCTACATAACATGCTAGTGTGAGTTATCAACAGTATTGTACTAAAAAAGCATTATATTTCACATCAGCACCAACAGTAACATTAGCACAAATCTGGTTATATAACTTAGAAGTCATAAGTGTGAACTGTAGCCTGAGCTGCTACCTTTTTTTGTTTGCTTGTATTGAGACAGGGTCTTATACTGTCGCCCAGGCTGGAGTGTAGTGGCACAATCTCAGCTCACTGCAGCCTCAACCTCCTGGTTGAAGATCAAATGATCCTCCCACCTGAGTCTCCCAGGTAGTTTGTACCACAGGTGTGCCCTACCACACCCACCTAATTTTTTTTATTTTTAGTAGAGACAGGGTTTCGCCATGTTGCCCACGCTGGTCTCAAACTCCTTGCCTCAAGTGATCTGCCTGCCACGACTTCCCAAAGTGGTGGGATTACAGGCGAACCATGTCCAGCCAGCTTCTTAAATCTGTTCATTAACTTTGAGGTTACTTTAGAAAAATTAATTTTTAAAAACCAAAAATAGTATCTCTGATACCAGAACAGCAAGTCACATCTTGAGTAAATCATTATTTATTATTTACTACGTGCAAAATATAGGGAAAGAGACAGAAGACAAATGTATCTATGACTTCCCACTTCTGATTATAATCTCTTTAAAGACTGTGTTTATTTCTAATCCCCAACCAATGACAGATGCAACAGGCGATCACCTTAAACAGGGATTATTTTGTTTACTGAACAACAGATTTAGAAAGGAAGGCAATGCACCCTTCAGTGGTTTCTTCCCTTGGCTTCACAGTAAGAGGAGTTTGGTACTAGCGGAATTTGAGGAGATGGAAGTCCATGTAAAGAATGTTGTGTCAGCCCCTGTATTTATCCAGTATTTTCTATGGAAAGATAAAGGCTCTCTCACAGTGAATTCAGTCTGTTCTACGGGCAGAGGAGTCTGGTACAACAGATGTGCAAAAATTCTGCTCATCAAGCAAAATTTATCACTAGTGGAGAATTTGAGATATTCTGATGATAATTTCTCTTAAATCAATTAAAGCCAAATACTATTCCATACTCATCTAAAAGGCTATTTTTTGGGCTAAAGATTTAAGTAGCTCTAATATGTCCTGCATTGATTCACTCAATGATGAATTCATGTGTTCAGTTAATCAGCATTTATCAAATGCCTAATGTTTTTGTCTTATCACACTATGAGCTTTGGCTAATGTATACAAAGTGAACAAATATGAGATTTTCAACCCTCATGAAAGGAAACCATTTTTAAAAACTAGAGAATGGGCAGTTCAATGTGTTGCTGTCCTGCTTTCTCAACACAGTGCACACACATGCCTGGGCAGAGCAGATAAAACTTCCTGAAAAGGCACAGACCCAAGTGCTGGGCTGGAGCCCACGTGCACTGAGGAAGGAGAACAGTTAGAACCTCCCGGGAAGGCACAGAAACAAGTGCTGGGCTGGAGCCCACATGCAGTGAGGAAGGAGAACAGTCGGGGGGAGGTGAGATGCTGAGGGATGTAAAGAGGGCCACAGGCTGGTAAGGTAAGGGGTTGCTCAAATCAGTAAACATATTCAGTGTAATGATAAATCCGTTTCTCACTGTCAGGGAAGGAGTTACAATGTGGAAACAAAAAACTAGAAGAAACCCCTGGACTCATCATCCATCCACCCATCCACCACCCATCCATCTACCCATCCACCTATATACTTACCTACTCATCTACCCACTCACTCACCCACCCACCCATCCATCCGATTCACCCACTCATCCACCCACCCGCCCACCCATCCATCCACCCATCCATGCAATTCACACACACACGCGGCCTGACTCTGTTCACTGCAGGGATTTGGAAACAGCGTATGGCAATACACATGAGCAAGCCCAGCTCCCAGAACCTGACTTCTAAACAGCATTTTTTGCTAAAAGGAACCCAGAGCCAAGCCCAGGGCTGGAGCAAAGAAAGTACAAGATGAGTCTGGAACATCTGTCTGTGGAAGTAAAAACAAAAAATACTAAAAAAATGATGGGTTCATGATAGTACGACAGAGAGGCCAGCTTAAAGCTTAAAGACAGAGAGGAGACAATGTAAAGGTCAATCAAGGAAAGTAACAGGTTATAGCCCACCAAAAAAAGAGAAAACCACAAGTCACAATACGACAATGCAAGAAGTGCCTAGTATATGGTGCCCGACACACAGCAGGTGTTCAGTCAGTGCCTAGTATATGGTGCCCAACACACAGTGGGTGTTCAGTCAGTGCCTAGTACACAGGGCCCAACACACAGCAGGTGTTCAGTCAGTGCCTAGTACATAGGGCCCAACACACAGCGGGTGTCAGTCAATGTGCACTCCTTTCATAGCCTGCTACAGTCTCTACGCTACCAGAGCACTTATCCCGTAGAGCACTGCAAACTTTCCATTTTTATTAAAGATAAGTCCACCTCCCCCACACAAACTGTGTGTTATTTTCATTTGAGTCCTCTTCAGATCCTCCTGGCTTCTTGTGTAGGCTGTCCCCCATCTACTGCGGGTGAGCAGCATGGGGCAAAGGAAGGGGGAAGGCACAGCTCCTGCCTCCAGGGCGTGGGAAGTCTCGTGGAAGATGAGGCACCTAAGCAAACGGTTATCATGGCTTGACTCATGTGCTCACCAGTGTTCACTGAGCAGGGACCCTGTGCAGGGCACCAGAATACCAAGGTAAACAGAGTCCTCAAAGCCAAGAAGCTAACATTTCAGTGGAAGAGGCGACATCTACCTGCACATTTTGTTACATCTCTCCTAAGAGTTGAGACAGAAAGGCAGGATGCGCTGTGGTGGCCACAGATGGCTGACAAGTCTTTGTGGCCAAGCACCAAGAGTGCAGAAGACAGCAGTCTGAGAAAAACGCATGAGGAGCAAAGCACCCGTGGAACACAAGGAAGATGCTGGGGCTCGCCACAGAGCAATGGGAATCTTTTGAAGTTTTAGCCAAAGAACGAACCATATCAAACCTACATTTCATAAACATGACTCAGGCTGTGACACCCAAAACATGATGGAGGGAGCAGGAAGAGAGGGCGGCAGAGCGGCCACTGTCGTGAACTGGGTGAGAAATGACAGGAGCTTGAACTCTGCACTATGGACTCTGAATGAGGCTGCCAGAAAGGAGGGAAGCTGAAGGGCCTGAGAGCCCTTGTAGAATTCATGCTGCCATAGGAGGAGGCAGTGATGACAATGGGGGAGCCAAGAATAGAAAGATGCCCTGGGAACAAAGAGTCACTCAGACGCTGAAGACAGTGGCCGCCCTGCAACTGCGGGACCCAACAGTCACTCAGACGCTGAAGACAGTGGCCGCCCTGCGACTGCGGGACCCAACAGTCACTCAGACGCTGAAGACAGTGGCCGCCCTGCGACTGCGGGACCCAAGAGTCACTCAGACGCTGAAGACAGTGGCCGCCCTGCGACTGCGGGACCCAAGAGTCACTCAGACGCTGAAGACAGTGGCCGCCCTGCAACTGCGGGACCCAACAGTCACTCAGACGCTGAAGACAGTGGCCGCCCTGCGACTGCGGGACCCAACAGTCACTCAGACGCTGAAGACAGTGGCCGCCCTGCGACTGCGGGACCCAGCAGTCACTCAGACGCTGAAGACAGTGGCCGTCCTACAACTGCGGGGCCAAAACATGGTTTCGAAAGGACGTCCCCATGATGAAGACATGGTAGAGGAAGCCTAGAGGGATAGGGAGTGCTGCATGAATGTTGATTACTGCAGTTTACTTAATCTTTTGGAGTTAATATCTCATTATAGTGTAAAAACTCTTAGATGATATATTTTAAAGTTTTGCAACAGGTAATTATCAGCTGACAATACTAACTGCATAAAGGAAATGAAAAACTATCTAATTTCATGTTTAGCTTATTATATACATGTTTTAGTTAATGCAATTGTAAAAGAGAGCGTTTGGTACAGTTTCTACTCTAATGTCAATAAAATAAAATTAAACAAAATATTAGCATCCAGAATATCCCATCAGCTGTATGAAAAGATGAATAAGTCAAAATCAGATTTGTCAAGGTTTTAAATTATCACTAGATAAAGATAACTGTAGAGAGAAATAAAACACAAACTATGCCTTAAGGAAAATCATTCAGACACTGTGTCAGAGGCTTAAGATACAATGTAGACCAGGATAACACAGTCCCTACTGGCAGACTTTCCTGTCTGACAAGAAGCAGTGCTTGTGTTACTGTGGTCGTGGTTCCTGGGAGCTGCTGGAGACAGGTCGCCCTTTTCTCCCAGTGGGAAGGCTGCACTTGGCCTGGGCTTCCTTCTCCACTGGTGTTTCCTAGCTGCAGCCATAACCCCCCAAGGACAAGCACCCTACACGGCCTGCCCAGGGTGGAGCAGCTGGTGCTTTCCTGAGTAGACACTGAGGGTTTCTCTCTGCCTAAGGAGGGAGGATAACAGGAGGGTGCAGAGGAGATGGCACACATGCTCAGCAGAGAGCCTTGTTCCAACAGACATTGGCAGCGACAATTAGAAAACCAAGGGACCTGCCCTGCTAGCTGGCTGCTGGCTTGAAGGTGTCCCTGGTGAAGTTGGCTTCTGAACACACAGCACACACGTGACCTGTTTTTGATGTATGGTAGCCACAAAGGGAATCCATTTGCATGAGACAGGGCATGTCCATGAACCCCAGACCCTCCCTAGTCTGGCAGCCCACAGAAATCCTCCTGGGGAAGGTGATACCGACTCTCCCTTCTCCATCTTCAGCAACTACATAACCACCATCCACATGCCCACTTGCTTTCCACCCCACAGAGGTTCCAGCACTTTCCCATTCTCAGTCTCACGAGACATTCCAGATCGCCTCGTCAGAAATCACGGGGCATGATCTGGTAGGGAGACATGCTTAGTTTTGCAGGAAATGTCATAAGTCAATCATTATCACAAGGTCCATACATTTCTAACAGCTTTTATGGCACAGGGGTAAGGAATCAAGGAGTTCAAAAAATAAAGACAATTATGAAAATACTTGCTTCTTGAATAAATTACACTTCTCTGTTAGGAATTTTGATTACAGAGAATTTAGCTATACCGCTTAGAAATGATGAGATACTGTCAAATATAGTTCTTATTTAATATGCAACAAATAATTAGTAAGCCCTTCTTATTCAGAACTTTATGTAAAGCTAACTAAGTCTTTTCTGTGATAGAAATCAATTACAATAATAAAAATGCTTGCATTTTTTATTTGGAGCACCTGTTTTCTAATTAAATTCATATTTAAAAGGAATTTAGGGACAAAATCTAAGTTTTCTAGTTTAGATATTTGCTATACACTCTGATAGAGCATTATGCCCCAGATGCTATCAGTAGGATTGTTTTTTCAACACTTAGCATTTTGTTTCTTTACTACTTTCCTGAAATTATAAGTTTATTTATGTTCACACTGCAGATGAAGAACTACAACTTCTAATTGTGAGCAGCTGTCATATCAAAGTGTGCCGGGTATGCAAGTGAAGGCTGTGCTAATGTACCCCAAAGAGCCACCCTGGGTCTAGTCTAGAAGCTACAGAATTATGTCATGGTGGGTTTGTTTTCTAGTTAATCTTTTCCTGATGAGGAACTGAAACACTATGATTTGTGAATATTAACAACAGTTATCCCAAAAAAAGCATCCCAAGAGTCTTTCTATCTCTGTTGATTTACTGCAATACTACTAATATGTTCTACAATATGTAGCTCTTTGGTGAAGCACATGGGCACATTTTAAAATAAGTATTTAAACTCTACGGTATTTTATTACAAGAAAGCAACTGTTAGAAAAATTAAGGCATTCTATGATTGTATGCAACTACAAGAAAAGATAAAAATAAGTTATTTTATTGTAATATTTTAATATAAATCAATATAACTTTTAAAATATTAATAAATTATCTTTTTTAAAACAAGAAAGCTAGTCTCCAAAACTGCTTTGATATTTCAAGTTGCAAAGTACACCACAGCTGGACTCTATTTTGTTCCATGATCTCAAAATTTCTCAACAACTATTCAGATAACAAGCACCAGCTCTAATTCTCATAATGGCTCATGTCACCTATCTCTCTGCCAATGAGACATCTGAAAGCATCTTTTTATTAGATACACAAATCAATATACCCAAGGGATTACAATAACTGCTTGAAGCAATTTGTATTATCATTTCATCCTTGATGTTCTTGCTCTGAGTAACTGATTATTATGAATGGCATGAAAATGGCAACCTGTCACAATTGATTTTTCCTTAACCTCCACAAGAATTTTTCTCCCTTAAATGTAATCAAGTCTCATATCATTAAATATGTCTGAGGCTGGCTTTTATAAACGAGTCCATTACTCAAACTGTAGTCCTTGTAATTTGAACTTTCACCAAATACTAATATAATAGTAATTCCTTAGTAATAAAAACTTTTGTTTAGTCTTAAAATTTTCAAACTTTGAGTAGACTCCATCTTCTTTTAAATCTCTCTGTCATAAGCACTAGGAGGCGGGAAAATATTCTAATCCTCACCTTCAAGAATTCTTTTTAATCTCAGAATTTTCCTCTATCTAACAAAATGGAAGGATTTATTCTTATCTTCATGTCTGGATAAAACATGCTGCATTTTTTGAAAGTCCAGGGAGGAGAACCAGGAAGTTGCGTCCTCAGGTCCCATTCCAGGGGGTGGGATCAATACAGGTAGCTCTGCTGCTGATGTTGCCTACGTGGGGCCACCCTCTACACACCACTTCACCTAGAGTGTGGGGACAACCAGGCGTCACAGAAACAAGAAAGAGAGTTAAGGCAGCAGCCAAAGTGTCTTTTTTTTTTTTGAGATGGAGTCTCACTCTGTTGCCCAGGCTGGAGTGCAGTGGTGCGGTCTCGGCTCACTGCAACCTCCACTTCCTGGGTTCGAGCAACTCTCTTGCCTCAGCCTCCTGAGTAACTGGGTTTACAGGCGCCTGCCACCACGCCCGGCTAATTCTTTGCATTTTTAGTAGAGACGGGGTTTCACCATATTGGGCAGGCTGGTGGTCTCTGCCTGTCTAAAAAAATAAAAGATAAAGACTAAGAGATAAATATAAATTATTTTTTGGAAAAAGTACATATTTAGGATAATGCAGCATGGTACCTGTAACTACAGGATAGGCAAGTGGGAAATGTCTGTTGAACTCAGGGTCTAGGGATATGAGTTATGCTTTTCTCCTTAGTTTTCTGTATGTTTAAAATTTTTCATAAGTTTTTCTTTCTTTTTTTTTTTTTAAAGCAGCTAAAAAAGAACAAAATTGGCCAAAATAAAGGCAAAAAAAAAAAAAAAATTGGCCAAAGAAGTTTGGGGATGTTAGCTGAGGAGAACTAGAAGTTTAAAAAAAAAAAAAGCCTTTATAATGCAATTAATAAAACTAGTTAAATACCTAACATACATCAACTTAACTCTGGGAGGATAGGTGGAGTTTTGTTTGTTTGTTCTGAGACAGGGTCTGGCTCTGTAACCCAGGCTGCAGTGCAGTGGCATAATCTCAGCTCACTGCAAGCTATGCCTCCTGGGCTCAGGTGATCCTCCCACGTCAGCCTCTTGCGTAGCTGGGAATACAGGCACACGCCACCACGCCCGGCTAATTTTTGTATTTTTTGTAAAGAGGGCATTTTGCCATGTTGCCCAGGCTGGCCTCGAACTCCTGGGCTCAAGTGATCTGCCTGCCTTGAGCTCCAAAGTGCTGGGATTACAGGCACGAGCCACTGTGCCCAGCCTGATAGTTTTGAAAGTACTAACACACACTGTTCCTCAATGAACCTGCAGCTGAGATGGGGCAAGTCCTCCTTATCAGCTGAATCTGTGGAAGCAGATGGCTGCAGGAGGCTGGCGCTCTTCCAGGAGCTGAGGATGCTCCTTCATGTCCTGCAGGAGGACATGAAGCCTCTGGTGGGGCTGGGATGACTCGGGGGTAGTCGGTGGTGGAGGTGGTGAGGGCCCATCAGGGGCTGAAGACCAACAGGGAGCACTGGGACTTGCACATGGTTAACAACAGGTACCAAGGACTCAAGGCCTGGTCTCGGCCACACAGTCTTATGGGCTTTACACCCTCTGCTAGAGTCAGGGAACAGCAACACATTGGAAAATGTCAATTGCTTAACCATTCTATGTAGCAGGGATTATGTGGATGATTTTTAAGGCAATTATATCCCAGGAACTTCCTAGTCTAGGCCACACCTACAGTAGAGGGCAACGGGAGAGGACGCTGCAGATACTGAGGCAAAAGCACAAGAGGCCCAAAGGCTGAAGAGAGCAAGTCAGAGGCAGCAGGGCCCAGCAAGAGGGCGTGACATCCTACAGCTCCAGCTGAAAAGAAAAGGGCACTCTCTTCTTTCTTACTGCTGCATCATGGAATAAAGAAGATAACTCTATAAATGTGGTATTTATTAAATTGAATTTACATAAGAGATCTACAAGCAACCGAATATAAGACTTGTCTCCCTAGAAGATCAATTACTGGATAAACCTAGAAAATGTGAAATGATGCTCAATTTGCCTTGACATACAATCTACAATAGTGGCTGTATTTTTTTTAATTAATCTATTTTTTCTTAATGAGACAGGGTCTCACTCTGCTGCCCAGGCTGGAGTGCAGTGGTGCAATCATGGCTCAGTGTAGCCTCAAACTCCTAGGCTCAGGCGATCCACCCACCTCAGCCTCCTGAGTAGCTGGTACTACAGGCACATGCCACCACGCCCAGGGAATCTTTGTATTTTTTGGTAGGGACAGGTTTTGCCATGTTGCCCAGGCTGGTCTCGAACTCCTGGGCTCAAGAAATCCGGCCGCCTCAGCCTCCCTAAATGTTAGGATTACAGGAGTGAGCCACTGCACCTGGCAGAAAATATTTGTAAGAAGGAAAGGATGCTCTCCAAAATATTATATAAAAGCTTATAATTTTAGATAATCCAGTGTCTGTAACAGCCTCCAAACTTCAACAACTCATTTTCATCACTGTACTCGAAGTCTTACCACCAATAACTACTTTGCTTCCAAAACTCCTTGTCCATAAGGAGCCCTCTCACTGCCATCCACCATCACGACCGGCTGTCCCTGCCTTCTCTGCTTACATGTCCACATGCAAACCTCTGCACCAGCCCAGCAGCCTATCTCTGCTTCTGCGTTGGGGCTCCTGAACATCAGCCTCAGAACAGCCATATCCTGGTTACTGGCACCATTTTAAATTTAAGATTCCCAACAACAGCTGGATCCTTCACATTGCCAACAATGTATGAGCCTAAATTGTTAGGCTCTCGTCTTCTTGAGCCCTTCAAGAACTGTCTCAAAGTCTTACCATGTTGCATCAATTTCACTACCGAAAGTGTTGTTGTGATTAACTTCTTTCTTATATCAGATTTTACTGAAGCATTTTTTAACCTCAGGAACGTAAAGCAATTTTGTGAATTGTCAGGGTCCTGCTATACACACTGTAATGAAGAAAGGAAATAAATATAAAGAGAAAAAAGGACGGAAGGAGAGGGAGGAGAAAGAAAGAGAAGAGGGGAGGGAGACAGAAAGAGTGACATACTGATAGACTTGAAATATTTTCTACAAATGAAAGAAGTAATGCCATAGTTCCTGTGGTGGCCATGTAATTCTATATGATTTTCTTTTCAGTAATCTTATCCTGTTTAAGTTACTACTGGATGCCCACTAAACTTATTCTTCCATATGATTAATATTTTTATTTGTAAGACCCCCTATTCTTTTACTAAAAACATTAATAGGTTTGTGATATGGATTTTTCTCACCATAAAAAAAAAACCAAAATCAATAAAATCTCTTCCCTTACAGCACAATCAGTCCACTTCTCATCAGCACTGCCACCGCCATGCTCTGGGCTGCCTGGTAAATATGCTCAGAATTCCCTCTCCCTCACCCTGGACCCGGCTCCCTCAACACAGCACTCTCTCCTTCCCCCAAACCCTTGGAAGAGTCCTCCAGCTGTGATTGCACCTGAGTCCCACCCTAATAAACGTACTGTCAGTTTTAATTTTACCAAGATTTCCTCGTTGCTAAAATTACCAACCTCTTTTCTACTTTTCACTCCAAATGATCTTCTCTGTCCCCAGCACACTGTTGACTACTGGCCACTCCCTAAAATGCTTTCCTCATTCATTATTCTTATCCTGGTTTCTCTTCCTCTCCTTATCCCTTAAATATTGGTATTCTTCCGGGTTCTGCAAGGTTCCTCTTTTTCGTACACTGTGTAAAAGCCCTGGGAAATCTTGTTCGTGGCTGTTGCTGCTCATGAAGTATTTCCAATTCTCCCTCCTTCTGCACACGAGCTAGAAGTGCAACTCCCTGACTCCTTGAACTTGGCCAAGGCCTTTTAATTGTTCTGGCCAATGAAATGTGACCCATATCACTCGCTCGCAAAGCCTTAAGAATCAGTCAGTATGTAATTGGCCACATCAGTATTTTCTTATCCCAGTGGTCATGGAAATGTGTTTCCAAGACAGGCCCTGAGTGACCATGACCAACAGGAGCTGTCAGCCTGCGCTGGACCCAGAATACGAAGAAAATATGACAAGAAGCAGGAGCTGCCAGTCAGTGCCGGACCCGGAACACGAGGAAAACATGACCAACAGGAGCTGCCAGCCTGCATCAGACAAGGAACACAAGGAAAATACGACAAGAAACAGGAGCTGCCAGCCTGTGCCGGACACGGAACACGAGGAAAATATGACCAGCAGGAGCTGCCAGCCTGCGTGAGACAAGGAACACAAGGAAAACATGACAAGAAGCAGGAGCTGCCAGCCTGTGCCAGGCATGGAACACCAGGAAAACATGACAAGAAGCAGGAGCTGCCAGCCTGGCCAGACCTGGAACACAAGGAAAACATGACCAGCAGGAGCTGCCAGCCTGCGTCAGACACGGAACACGAGGAAAATATGACAAGAAGCAGGAGCTGCCAGCCTGTGCCGGACATGGAACACGAGGAAAACATGACAAGAAGCAGGAGCTGCCAGCCTGTGCCAGATACAGAACATGAGGAAAACATGACCAGCAGGAGCTGCCAGCCTGGCCGGACCTGGAACATGAGAAACACAACGCTGGGGAAGCCACTGCGGAGTATGAGGCACTTTATTATCAGAGCATGACTCAGCCTATCCTGACCGATAACCACTACTCATTCAAAAATATGTATTTGCAGCTCAATTTCTCTGCTGACGACGAACTCCAATGTATCAATGTCCCAATATGGCTTCTACTCAGAGAGCTGTCAGAATTGAGTGTTAGAAACATTTTTGCTACCTGAAGAAATCCAACAAAGCTCAGGTAAAGGATGAGATGAGATTTCCCCTGTACATGTTTACCGTTTTGTTTGCACCAGCCTTCTTTGAAGCCCAAAAGTTTGTTGGTTTACTAAGCAACAGAAGAACACTGTGATGTCACCGTCAGAAAACAGTCTTACCAGCAATAAACAATAATTTCCACCTTTCCGTCTCTGTTCAGAGACCAATGTCACAATTCTCTTCCATTCAACATGTATCAATACCGAGGCTTCCCCTGGATAAATTACATGTTACCTTTCGCCCAGTGTAGCTTGCTCAAAACCTTCTCCTGAATTTTATTCTTGTAAAACTAGCATTTAACACTCAGAAATATTTAAGTATATATTTCATTTCCCTGTTATGTTATGTCTTAATTGGATGTTTAAATACCAAATCTGGCGGGGCGCAGTGGCTCACGCCTGTAATCCCAGCACTTTGGGAGGCAGAGGCGGGCGGATCACGAGGTCAGGAGAATGAGACAATCCTGGCTAACAAGGTGAAACCCTGTCTCTAATAAAAATACAAAAAATTAGCCAGGCGTGGCGGTGGACGCCTGTAGTCCCAGCTACTTGGGAGGCTGAGGCAGGAGAATGGCGTGAACTCGGGAGGCGGAGTTTGCAGTGAGCCGAGATTGCGCCACCGCACTCCAGCCTGGGCAACACAGCAAGACTCTGTCTCAAAAAATAAATAAATAAATAAACAAACAAAGAAATAAATACCAAATCTAAGGAAAACGTCCTCAGGAGCTTCACTATCAGCAGCGCTTTGTCTTGAGACGTGTCACGGCTCCATGCCTTGTGATCTCCCCGGCTCTACAGTCGGGAACGCACTCTTCTCCCCGGGAGCCATCGTGTGGATTCAAGACATAATACACGTAGAGTTTTAGACAAGTGCCTACCATGTGGTCAATGTTCTCCAAGCTGGAGCTAGAACCGCTATCGTGAATCCCTATTGGGAGGGGAGGACTCAGCATGTATTAATCACCAGGAAAATACCAGCCACTGAAAGAACACTTTTACATCAGGTTGAAAAGCTAACATGGTAAGCAGCAAGAAGTAAATCCAATTCTGTAAAACTCCAAAGACACCCTTTCAATTATGAGATATATTCTGCCAACAATAAGCAAATTTAGAAGACTATTTTTTAAGAAAGGAGAAGAGGAAGAGAGGAACAGGGAAAAGAAAAGAAGAGGGAGAGAAGGAATGCCCACACAGCGGAAACTGGAAGAATTTCTAGGCCACGTGGTAGCTGACAGTACAGAACCTCCTGCCTTGCACAAACTAGTTACAAAATGACCATTTCTTGACTAGCAATCAGGGTAGGGCTGAAAAATTACCACACTGAAAACCTTTCCTTTTATAGAAAAATAAAAATTACAGCTAACATTTACTGAGCATCTGTCATGTAGCAAGTACTTTCCTAAGAGCAACGTGTGCATGAGCATGACCTTGTTCCTGGCAAGCCCACTTCAGAGAGGGGAGGGTGGAGAGGGTGAAGAGGCTGAGGGACACACGAGTGTGCACCAAGGCCTGGACACAGACCCAGCAGCGAGGCTTCAGGGCTACATTCCAAACCATGCTTGCAAAACTAGGAGGCCGCTCCAACGCAGAACCAAGACCCTGAGTAAAGAGCTTGACGAGCCAAAAGTAACAGGTGTATAGATGGGAAGAAATAATAAAGTGGAGACTGAAATGAAAAAATGACAGAAAATAAGTTGAACTGAAGAAAAAGGTGGGCTAAAAAAGGAATCACAGTAAAAGGCAGTGTAGCTTTAAAGATTTTAAATTCATATTTAAAATTAATTTACCCTCAAATATCATCATAAATGCAAAAGTAACATTTAGGAAAAAAATCCTAGAACTGTACATACATTAGAATGTTCTAGTTTTGTGGTCGGGTGCGGTGGCTCACGCCTGTAATCCTAGCACTTTGGGAGGCTGAGGCGAGCAGATCACTTGAGGTCAGGAGTTTGAAACCAGCCTGGCCAACATGGTGAAACCCCATCTCTACTAAAAATATGAAAATTAGCCAGGTGGGGTGGTGCTCATCTGTAATCCCAGCTACTCGCAAGGCTGAGGCAGGAGAATCGCTTGAACCCAGGAGCTGGAGGCTGCAGTGAGCCAAGATGGCACCACTGTACTCCAGCCTGGGTGACACAGTGAGACTCCGTCTCAAAAAAAAAAGATGTTCTAGTTTTGCTCACATGAAAAAAATAACATAGCACTTATCAGAAAACACATATAAATACGTATGTGATTCTAACTCTATATATGATTACTTTAATAATTTATTTTTAAATAATTGTAACACTATTGTAGAACTACTGACTTGCATATATTTGAAATGCAAATTAGAGTCAAACTGCAATGTAAGTCTAAAGAGATAACTTTCCCCATTATCACAATTAGGATTTATACTCAATAGTAACGCAGCATTCTTCTTTGACTTTAGCAAACATGTAACACACAGATATCTGGGGTTCTATCAGGTACAGGAGATGCACACTGGATTCTCCGTGTGCACAGCTAAGGGCGTTCTCAAGGCATGCCCCAGTGAACAAGCAAACAATCGACACAGAAGGCCTCACTCTACTTACTGCTGCAAACGGCCTAGGACTTTATAGGGTTGGTGATATGTTACTAATTTTTGAAGAGTTAACCATTTTTAAAATAACATTTACCTGAAAAAATGGAATACATCTTGCTCAAATATATCTTTTTTTTTTTTTTTTTTGAGACAGAATCTCACCCTGTTGCCCAGGCTGGAGTGCAATGGTGCGATCTTGGCTCACTGCAACCGCCACCTCCCGGGTTTGAGCTATCCTCCTGCCTCAGCCTCCTGAGTAGTGGGGACTACAGGCACCCGTCATCATGCCCAGCTAATTTTTGTATTTCTGGTAGAGACAGGGTTTCACCATGTTGGCCAGGCTGGTCTCAAACTTCTGGCCCCAAGTGACCCACCTGCCTCAGCCTCCCAAAGTGCTGTAATTAGAGGCGTGAGCCACCACGCTTGGCCTATCTTTTCAAAGAATTATTTGATTTCCACTGCGTTAATAAGACTTCCAGAAAAAGACAGCAAAAGATAACCTTCACTATTAATTACCCACAGAGTG
Organism: Homo sapiens; assembly: GCF_000001405.40. Classification (NCBI taxonomy): domain Eukaryota; kingdom Metazoa; phylum Chordata; class Mammalia; order Primates; family Hominidae; genus Homo; species Homo sapiens. The sequence continues at coordinate 79,214,768 of NC_000018.10, read as the reverse complement.
AGGCATAAATCCATGTGAGGATTTTTTGTTTCATCTAAATGCACATAAATTACATTTTAAATAAAAATGAGTAAAATCAATACTTAGGAAGAGCTTCTCATTAACTGTACATTAGCACATACTGTGAATTCATCTCACATATGGTATCATGATGATAGCAACTACTGAGGATTCAGACTTTTTGTTATGATTTTACACACATGTTGGATGCATAAATAACAATTTTAGAAATATAATCAATTCAGGATATAATCAAGCGGTCTTTAAAACTAATCTTTGGCTTCAATATGCTTCTTCTGACATGGAAATAAATAAAACTGGCTTAATACTGTAACATCAAATTAAATAGTATAAAAACATTAATACAGATTGCTTTATTTTAAAATGAACCATCAACATAAAAGAGTGCAAATTGTAAAATAAGTAGACTGAAGATAAGAAATTAGCCACAATTAACTGTCAAATTACGGGCAAATTATATATCTGACAATGAAAATTTAAGACACATATAAAACTGATTAGCCAAGCAATGATACTTTTGGAAATTCGCCAGTATGAGAATGTTGTTATATAAATACGGAGAATTCATATTGTAAGTCACCAACATTTTTGAAAGTCTACTTTAAGATATATGTTAAGCCAAAAGAATGAGCTATTCAGAACTATGCAGACTTTCTTACTGAAAGGAAAAATAAGTTCATTAAAGCAGTTGCTCCTCAATCTAGCCTACCTTATTTTTTGGATTGGATGTGTTCATTACACTTCGAGTCTCTTTTCCGGTATAAATGACAACACCTATTACAGTACCTGCAAAAACATGAAAGTGGTCCTTGTAGAAATACTTTAAAGATGAGTAAAAGATAACACTTTCTAATTAATTGTTTTGATGGAAAGTATTATCACACTATTTGATTTTATATAAATTTATCCAACAGTGTATTTAATTTGGCTAATTCAAGAAAATCTAATCTCAACTTTAAAAATGGACTTTGAAAAAGTCAAATGATTTGTTAAGCAATACAAATGTACCCACATATAACATTAGGAAACGTACTAATATTCTTTTCACTGACAATAGAGATAATGACAATGGCCTTTCACTACTGTCTACTAAAATGGTGGTTCTATCACTGAAGGTCAATTAAGAGGCTATATCCTTAACTAATCAAACTTGTCCTTTGACCTTCAAATAAAGATGGTACCAGATGAACCACTTTCTTTTAGTGTATTTCCACTGTAAAGATCAAAGTATTACTAAATATCAGTGACAGCCTTTGCTAATATTTCAAAATGTGTACAATTAAAATAATAGAAATATTATAAAAAACGGTATTTGACTTTGCATTTAGAAGCTATTACTCTCTTTTACACGTCAAAAAGATATAATAATTTTTAAATTTAAGAGAAAAGAATAATAAAATATCCTTGGTATGACCGATAGATTTCAAAGGCTAAAGGGCACTTATCTCTAGAATGTCAGTATTAAAAACCATGGAAATCTCTTTCTGAAACTACAGCCATATATAATTTATATTCCTAATTTTCATCCTTAATTTTTTGTAAATTTTGAAGGTGAGAAACACAATTAAGGTGAGAAAGTATATACACATAATGTGCAATTACCAACCATTACAGAATTAACTATAATAATTATATGAAAACTCTGATGTCACATTAACTTAACATGTAAAATGCAGAGCATCATAAGACAGGCTCTTTGAAGTAAAGATGATTGATATGAACTCCCGGCTTTTCGTGAACCTTGATATGTTACATATTATACATATCACATGGCTTACACCTTCCTCTCTAGAAAATCTAGGAAGGTGGAAGATGTGAAGTATTCCCCAGCAGGGATATGTGTGGAGATTATATATATTTCTCTTTTAATTGAGTGTCACTGAGAAGTGTGAGGCTTCAGTTTGTAAAAGTTCATGAAAGGCAAGGCCAGCTCACACTTAGAATATAAGCTCCCCGATGCACAAATGCCGTCTTTATTACTATTATCCACATAAACTTCTGAGATTAGATGACTATACTTACTACGCAGAGAAATATTAAATATATAATACAATACTATAAAAAGCTTTCAAAAGGAGATCATAGAATTACTTCACATCAGTGAAGCTAAATATTAAATATCATCTGATCAGTATTTTCTGTTTTGCCAATCTAGTTTAAATCAAAATATAAACATCCCACTAATGTTAAATTATCACAATGATGTAAGAAGGCAAACTGCAAAATTAACTTATTTTTTAACATTAGCAGAATGAGCAAATCTCAGAAAAGGCTTTGCAAGAATTAATCAAGCTAGAAACCGTTGAGCTGAAAGCAGGTTGACTGATGAGCAAAGTGGACTCTAGAGTGGCCTTACAATGCACAGTACCTCAATTCAATGTGATACATAACAAGGCATATGTTATACATTTTTAACAGAGGTCCTGGTACAATATTTGTATAATCTGTTAAAGTTTGCTAAAGGCTCTCGTAAGTATTCTCTCACTTGATTCTCATGAAAAATCAACACTTACTAGAATTAGATTAAATGAATTTTTCTGAGTGTCATGCTTTTTAATATCTAACGTAACTAGAATCAGTGCAGAAATATTTGGGACATTTTCCATTCTCTTTCACAAAGGGTATGTACTTATGAAGTACAATAGGCTAAAAGACTGAGTAAAACCTGAGTATACAAGGCAAAACAGAGGAAAGGGATTAACTGTGGATTGCGAAATGAGACATGAGAGGGCAACAAAGTATGATAAACTCATTTTGTGTCGTATAAGATAACAGGAGACTGAATGTGACAAATATAAATGTCACAAAGATTTCTCACTCAATGAAATACTTAAACAGAAGAATTCCAAAACTTTAACCCATATTTTCAGTGTAAAATCAAGATCCACCTCCCTCACAACGCGCTCCAACTGGAGAAACTTCTACATCAGAAAGACCTGAGTTCAGGACCATGTTGGTAGATTAAAACCACAACCACAACAACAAACCAGTTCTTAACAGGACCCTAAAAATGATGGTGGTCCAGTATTCATCATTAAATCAAAAATTTAACTTCATTTATCCCAAGACAACATTTTAAAAGATTTAGGAGCACTTAATCTTCAAAGCCAGTGATTACATTTGCCTGATCCATAACTGCACACTTCAAATTGACTACAGGTAAAAATTAATATTAAATATTCAGATGCTTTGGGTCCAAAAAGGGAGGCATAAAATATGACCACATTTACTCCTACACTCCACAGACCCCATGACTAGGGCCCTCGAGACTTAGCCTACTTCAAAGAGGCTGCTATGTGGATGGTCTGCAAGTCATTCTATAGTCCAACCCTATCATGTCCAACTTCTGTTCAATCACAATTTCATGTGAGTGGGATAATAATTACTCTGTTAGTTACTATGTGCCTTCCTTGCTACAGGCTATATAGAAAATTTCATGCAAAATTATACCACCTTCTAATTGACTACAGTTGTATTTTAAGCAAACAACTTCCATGTTGCAAAGCAAGACAAAGAATGCTAACAAGGTCAAATTTTGTAGAAAAATATACTCTCCTTTATTTAAACATTTCTAGTTTATACCAGAAATCATAATCCAGCACTTCCAAACAAGTAGTCCACTCAATATTTCAAATGATAGGCCTATTGCAATACTTTTAGTTGCTATTTCTAACCACTGATATGTTTAATTTGCAGATAACCAATCCTCACAAATTCAAATTAATTAAGATGATTCATAGAAAATTATTTAAAAACACAAAATATAAAACCTAGACCACTTTAACAAAACAATTAATGGCCTTAAGTTATCAAATCAAAATGATGTGAAATGCTTACTAAAAGTAAATATGTATTTCATGTGTGTCTAATGAGAGACAGAGGTATTAACAAATCAATGTATTTGTTGACTCTCAATTATACACCCAAAACCTGCTAGATACCGTTAGCAAAAGCAGGCAGGGCCACATACACCAGCCTCTGGAACACACTCCAACTCGCAGATGCCCTCCAGGAGCCAATTTCCACAGAACCCCAGTGTGCACTGCTCCCTGGGGCAGGCGCTCCCGGGCTGGACCCGATGATAGCAAGGCAGACACTGAGCACTGCACGTACAACTCCAACCACGCACCAAGTGCAGGAAAACTGATGAAGACCGTGAACTGAGCCCCAGGATGTAAACAACCTAGACCAAAACTGGTGCACAGACTACAAAGGAGACCCCCAACCAAGGTCTAGAGTCCACACAGCCAGGACACAGAGACACAGGTGACCCACACCCAGGTCTAGAGTCCACATGGCTGAGACACAGAGACACAGAAGACCCTCACCCAGGTCTAGACACCACACGGCTGGCCCACTGAGTGACAAGGAGACCCGCACCCAGGCGTGGGTCCACATGGCCAGGGATTGCCCTCTGACAGCCCCGTCACACTTTTGTCAACCTTGCCTTAGAGAGCCCAGCTTTCCTTCCAGTTTTGTGACAGCTGAGTATCAGGAACACTCCTTTGTATGCTCATCAGTATAATAAACACGATGGTTCTCCAGGACCCAGTTCTGCATTTTAGAGAGCAAGTTTTCTGGATCCACATGGGAAGTGAAACCTCCGGCAGCACAGCAGGCTCTCTGTGTCCTGCCTTGGCTCACCTCTCGTCTGCTGCATCTGCCTGTCTGTGTCTAACCTGAGTCCCGGTTCCCATGCATTCAGAACTCTAGGGATGGGGAGGAAGCACTGAGTTCACTTCCCCTCCAGAGTCAACTTGAATTCAACTGAGATACGACTTTTAAAGTATAAGAGTAAAAGGAATTCTCAACTTGTAATCAATTACAAAGAATACAAGAGTGCCTAGGTTACTCTGGAAATCTTAAAATCTTTCAAACATTCCTTAGGATATAGCAGTGTGGTATATAGAATGTGTAACTGTTCACATTAACAAGGCTTTTAAATAAAGATATGTATGTACTAAAAGAGCTGAAATTAAAGCTTACATTTAAAGATGTTCGAATACAAACTAACATTAAAGGTACCTTAATTAAGCTTCTCGAGTGGATGGTTTTAAAGCCGTCTTCATGCCCACTAGGAAGACACAACACTGAATGCTAGATGGCAAAGAGAACAGAATGGACAGGATGGGGCCGGCATGTTACGATGCCTCATTAGTGTCCAACTAGTCGGGCCCACTTGCCAAGGTCATCAAGAGAACTGAGGTCAGGAGAGAAAACTTTGTTCAGGGAACCGTATGGGATGTCTCAAAAGCCTTTAGCTCAAGCAGCTTTAGTCTCCCTCAGGAGAAGGGTCACAAATCAACAGTACTAGGGATCAGTAACAACATTTAATATATGTTTATGCAGCACCAGGAAAAAAAGATGAAATTTATTTTTAAAAAGGGAAGCATTACTATCTTCACGAATGATTCTTAATTAACAAATATCAGTGAGATGGAAGAAACAGGCTGCAATAACTATGTATGGAAAATGTAAGTCTTCTCCCCATGTGTCAGCTTCTGAGTCCTGTATCATAAATGCTTTCGTGTAACTACTGAAGGCCGAGCACTCAAGGACACTGGCTTTCAGGGAATGCACAGCTGGACTCCATTCTGGTCCCTGTGCAGCCTGGCTCTATGGTAACTGGCAGGGGGAACACACCTCCCGAGTGCAGCCATTCAGCGTGAGGCCAGGCCAGCACTGACCACACTCACCACCTGGCGGAGAGGCTGGCAACACTCATGCCTCTCAGCAATGCCAAGGCAGCAGCATGAAGAAGGCTGGAGGGCAGGTTTCCCTGGCTAAATGTGCCTGCCCATGGTGTGAAGACCCTTACAGAGCTCAGGGCCCACTTGTCCACCCCAGAAGAGTCCTCCTGGCATGAGGTCCCTCTCGAGGCCTACAGAGCCCAGAAACTGTCCTGCTCACCTCTGAAGTCTCTTCATGGAAAACTGTCTTGTTCTCTTTCTTTGTATGTTAAGAAATTTATATACGTATGTTTATATATATATACACACACACACATAACATTTATATGTATGTAACATTTATATATAGATGTAATTTATATATAAATAACATCATGAAACACCCACAAAAATTGTCACCTATTAAAACTGTCATATACCCATCAAGCATTTTTTAAAGACACAAAACACTAGGATAAGATGAATCCTCTTTCAAATTCTATCATCCAAAAAGCTAACATGTGTCCTCCTCCTGGAGTTCGTTGTATAGTTAGTTTTGCATACTGCAGGCCAACAGTTAAACACAAGCACACAAAGCTGCCCTGTTGTGTGACACCTGCCTTCTCCATGGGCCTAGCACACTGGCCCTTGGATCCTTTTCTTCAAGGTACTGTCTCTCAGTACTAGGCTGCTAGCAGGAATGCTCCTCACACTGTTTCTGCCACCTGCCTCATCCTGCCACATCTGCATATTCTTTAAATCCAAGTTAAATGTTTCTTCTTCAGAAAAGCTGCTCCTAGACCTGGTCTATATAAACTTCATTTTTCTTTTTTTGAGATGGCATCTCGCTCTGTCGCCCAGGCTAGAGTGCAGTGGCGCGATCTCGGTTCACTGCAAGCTCCGGCTCCCGGGTTCCCGCCATTCTCCTGCCTCAGCCCCCCGAGTAGCTGGGACTACAGGCGCCCGCCACCACGCCCGGCTAATTTTTTGTATTTTTAGTAGAGACGGGGTTTCACAGTGTTAGCCAGGATGGTCTCCATCTCCTGACCTTGTGATCCGCCCGCCTCGGCCTCCCACAGTGCTGGGATTCCAGGCGTGAGCCCCCGCGCCCGGCCTATAAGCTTCTTTAATTACAAACCGTCCACAGCACTCTCTGTACGTGTTGGTGATACTTAGCACAGCAACATTACCTAGAACACTTGCTTAACCTCTGTCCACAAAGCCATAAGCTCCCTGAGGACAGGATATGGAACCGCCTTGCCCCAGACTGAATCACCGTGCCTGGTGGAGAACAGGTGCTCCATGCACATGCATGGGGGAGTGAGTGGCATCCAGGAGAGAAGGGCACCCAGCACTGGGCAGCACCGAGAAGACACAGCTCCAACAATCTAGCCTCTCATTCCAGGCTGCCATCACCTTTCGGGCACTCTCTTCCAGAGCTCCCTGCTGCTAAGCCCCATTACTGGCACCAGCATCGATACCAACCCATTCCTGGTAAACTTCCTCCCTGGCATCAACCTCAGCATCACCTAATTTCTCATCAGCTTCCTTCCAAACATCATCATCAATGTCAACTCATACCTGATAACATGGTAATCATCTGACATCGTCTACCTCTCACAGCACGCCTGGCCTCTTCTAATACTTTTCCGTTCCACAGTCACTTCAGCCACTCTCCTCCTGCCAACCCTTGTCGGATGACTGAGAAGCGCTAAAATCACCACTGGCTTCCCAAGCTCTTCTGTGGTGCCTCTCATTAAGGAACACTGACAAGTTTGTCAAGAAACAGGTCAAAGACGAACAGAATATCCCTGTACTCCTGCACGAAGGCTGCAGCACCTCTCCCTGTCTCAGGCCTTGCGAACCACGTGCAGTGTCTGAGGAGCAGCACAAGCCTCACCACAAGCTCCCAGGACTGTCTCAGACCCACTGAGCTGGAGTCTGCGTTTAGCAAGGTCCCTAAATATTTCAGGGCACTGTGAGAAACCCTTGTTTGGAGTCCCTGGACAAAACAAAGCATCATCTATCCGGGAGCAATCACACTCAGAGGAGAATGTTTTCCTTACCTGATGCAACAATGGTGCTTGCCCACAATGTATTTTCTATGCTGAGACTTTCATGAATGGGCGGGTCACTGTCTTCCTGTGCAGGGAGACAAAAAGAAAACAAAACCGTCAAATGATTGTTCATTATTCACACCTTATATAACCTCAGTATTAGAAACAGGTCCACAAGCTCAATCCAAGTGAACAGCAGTGCAAAGGCACTGCAAAACAGACGTTAGAAAAAAGGGACTATAAAAAATTGAAAGTACAAGTTCAAAGAACTCCTGTAATCAATTAATTGCTTGCAATGCTTAACATTAATACACAAACGAAATAATTCTAAATTTTCATGAAAGTACTATACCTTCTAATATTTATTTATTTATTTATTTATTTATTTATTTATTTATGAGGTGTTATTATGCTGCCCAGGCTGGTCTCAAATTCCTGGGCTCAAGCAATCGTCCCATCTCAGACTCCCAAGTAGCTAGGTTTACAGGTGCATCCAGCATGCCTAGCGTATTCAACTACATCTTTAACACATCATTTAACAACACTCCTGGAAAAGTAGAAAATATTAGCACAGAAATAACCACAAGTCAACTCTTCAACATTTCTTTTGCGTGCATAGCATAATTTCCTCTCTCTATCTCTTGTGAAGGACAAGGGCAATGCTTTTTAAGTGTGCATGTATTCACGACAGAGAAAATGCTTCTGTGAATATTGTTAAAAAATAAACATATATTTTAAAAATGTATTTCTCTTAAATTCCTCTTTAGAAGTATGCTATTATTGGCCGGGCGCGGTGGCTCACGCCTGTAATCCCAGCACTTTGGGAGGCCGAGGTGGGTGGATCATGAGGTCAGGAGATTGAGACCATCCTGGCTAACACAGTGAAACCCCATCTTTACTAAAAATACAAAAAATTAGCTGGGCATGGTGGCGGGCACCTGTAGTCCCAGCTGCTTGGGAGGCTGAGGCAGGAGAATGGCGTGAACCCGGGAGGCAGAGCTTGCAGTGAGCCAAGATCACGCCACTTCACTCCAGCCTGGGCGACAGAGCGAGACTCTGTCTCAAAGAAAAAAAAAAAAAAGTATGCTGTTATTACACGAAATATTCTTAAACAAAATTCAAGTACGTTATATGATGCTAACTACCTTAACAGATAGCAAACCAATATGGCCACACATCAGTATCACGACAGCAATATGTACAGTCTAGTTTTACATTTACACTTTCAATGTTCATATTCAGAGAAGAAAATTACAATTTAAAATCTGGGAATTTTTCATCTTAATGTAAAGTCATGGCCTACATTTCGGTAATGGAAGCCTTACTAGAATAAAGGAATGCATCCACAGCCCTGCATCTAGAAGTAACACAGGGAAGACGTCCCGTGTGGGAGGCAGTGACCTCGACATCTGGATAGGGTAAAAGCCACACACTGTCCTGACTGTTGGGCGTCTCCCGTAAAATAATGCCCCCTCCACAAACTGTATTTTGTTATGAAATGATAATTTGCTATCAGGATATACCTTAAGAAAAAAAAAAAGAAATCAAATTTGAAAAGGAAAGAAATTGAAAACATATTTTCCAAAATAATCTGCATGTACAAAATACGTTTATGTAACTGGTGTTTTCCTTCTAGTTACTTATCAAACCACTTTCAGATGATGTAATTTTGGCCGTTTTGCTCATTACTTGGAAGATATTTGCTAGATATCTGATTCTCTCATATACTTGATTTGTTTATTTGTGAAGCACAGAATCTAAACCAATCCTAACAGTTTCCAAAATATTTCCCCTAATATGGCAATTATTTAGTAACTAAAGTATTTTCAATTACATTCAATTTGAGGAAGGCGTTTGGCCTCCAGTTGCCTTGTATGCCCAAAATAGCAAGCCCAGTAGTTAGGAAGTGTCCTGCAATGCAGGTGCAGCTCAGGGTCAGACTCTCAGGGCCCTGGGGATCATGAACCTTCCACCACGTCCCTTCACAAGAAGGCGACCGCCTGACCTGAAGACTGACCTTAGCGTCTGAGCCTTTGGGAGAATGAAGGCTATGATGCTGGGAATTGTTTACAACACAGCTGGAGTGCTGTTTCTTTGAAAAAAAAAATCATTTCAAAAATATACACTGGCATTTAAATAAACAGTACCTTGGTTACGTCATCTACAATATGATCTCAGTAGGCACAAGTGCAATGCCAGCCACAACAAAGGACACAAAGAGGTCTTCTCAGTGATGTCAATGGTCTTAAGGAGCAGGCGCCCTGCAGACACAGCCTGGATGGAAACAATCTGTCTACAGTATGTGCTGACTCCAGCATGGACCAATTACTATTTCTGCAGATACACAAATACCTTTAACTCTACAGTCCCTTAGGAATTACTTCCTTCAATTAATTCCACTTTATCAAGTACAACATGTTGCATGCTTTCCTGAACTTAGCAGTTACAACTTATAAAAATCTGATAATTAACCTGTATTCATATGCAAAATACTAAGGATATATATTTTTAAGTGGAAAACCTGAGAATTATATTATCCCAATATAAATTTGCATGTTTACAAGGGAAAAGAACTTAAAAGGAAGAGTCAAAAGAGTAATACTAGTATTTGTATCAGGAAGGGAGGAGGGCTGTAAAAGTGGTTTATACCTTTAACTGCTTTATTTTTTATATAGTTTCATACTAATGGTAATATGTTTACCAATGTCAAAATACACTGGAATGAAATTAAGCTCCTGCACAGTAGCTAACACACCACTATTACGGGCTTTAAAACACAGAAGAACATTCAAGTACTTAATTTTCCAACACTGTTCTTGTTTTTTCCACAGAAAATACCAGATGGAAACTGCCTTTTGTTTACTTTGTTTATAACTAAAGTAGCTGCTCAGAGTAAAGGCATACAATTTATTCAATGCTAAGATAAACAATCCAGAAAAACTGAGTTATCCCTATGACTTTTATGATTTGATAGAACAACCAAAATATCAACTTTAAAGAAAAAGCAAGTAGCCTCTATGGATTAGACTACTTTGTAATTGAATTTAGGATTGCACTGAAATGGGCAATTTCTGATTCATTCAAACAAATGGTGTTACAGTCTAACTCAGCTTAACACTATTGAAGAAACAAAAAAAAGATATATATCCTCTAACACTGTTGAAGAAACAAAAAAGATAGACATCCTCATTCCTACTTCCCAGATACGGTTGACACGGTATATCCTTTACCTGCTGGGGGTCTAGAGGTTCCAGCGTTGGCACAGCCAATTGAGCATACAGTTGGCATTAAGAAGCCAAATACTGAATTCCCTATTTATCATTTTAAAACTTGAAGCAATAAAATTTTTATCTACCATAAATTCAGAATTTTATTGTATCAGAGCAATTGACATGTTTCTAATCCCATATTTTATGGGTATTACCTTCCTAGCACCTAGCACAGAATAGGCAATGAACATTGTCCAATAAACAAAAGAACACTCATGAAATTCTTTTTCTAATATCCACAGGAATCAAGATGTCTTTCACCTGCAGTGCCCACAAGCATGATGCTATAATGAGTCACCTGCCTGTGGTTACTCTGAGTCTCCTTTTATGAAGCATCAGGTACTTGCTCCTCCAGGGCCTCCTGCCTGCTGTTACTCTAAGCCTCCTACCTCTACGAAGTATCGGGTGCCTGCTCCTCTACGCCCTCCTGCCTCTAAGAAGCATCGGGTACCTGCTCCTCCAGGGCCTCCTGCCTGCTGTTACTCTAAGCTTCCTGCCTCTATCGCTCATCAGGTACCTGCTCCTCCACGTCCTACTGCCTCCATGATGCATCAGGTACCTGCTCCTCCAGGGCCTCCTGCCTGCTGTTACTCTAAGCCTTCCACCTGTATGAGGCATCAGGCACCTGCTCCTCCCGGTTCTCCTGCCTGAAGATGCCCATCGTGACTTCACCACCCAAGTAGAAATTCACACAATTGTATTCCCTTTAAACTCTTCCTAATGATTCACTTGATATGAAAGTTTAATTATTGATGCATGTCAATCTTTTAGTACTATATTTTCTCCTAATGTCAAAGTCCAAGAGAATAAGGGCATTAAAAAACATAAAAATTTTAGAAGGGTTTCTCAAATGTAAACAAAAGGTTCTATATAATTTCATTTTAGAAATTTTAGCTGGTTTCCTGTTACTTTTCTATGACCATTTTTCCATATGAATGTTTCTGTCTCTAACACAATTTTATGTTGAAGAAAACACAATATCTATGCATCTTTCTTTCAGTTCTGGAATGGCGATGATTGACTATAAACATTTTTCTAACATGGAGAAAATTATTCCAAAAGATAGTTTTTTACCAGTCTCATGAAGCACAGAATAAAGACTGGGAAGACTGAAAATAAATTATCTCTAAAATGTTCTATTTCACTTTCCTTCTCTTTAATGGTCTATAAGTGTGAACAGATAAAATCTGCTTGGGGGAGGATGCAAAATGTTACCATTTCATGCTGTTCTCTCAACAGCATACCCTACTTAACAAACAGCAGAGGTTTGCTTTTTTGAAGGAGAGTATTTTGGCTGAAGAAGACATGAACAATGTAAGTGTGCTATGGTTTGCAAAAGAAATTACAGCAGAAAATACATTCTCAAAATGACTAACTGGGAATGTGATGTTAAAGGACTATAAATACTGCTAATACTTCAAAACTGGCTACAATTTACAACTCCAAACTTCCAAGACAATACATACAGATTTTGAACAATAAGTGAAATTAGCGATATCAATCATTCACATAATGAAAAAGGTTATACAATCAGTAATTTAGGTTGTTCTCACATTATCTGAGGAAAGAGGAAGCAGACACCATCACAGCGCCACATCTCCATTAGATTCTGCACAGGCATCAGCATGCATACTGGGTATACTGCCACAGGGACCTTGAATTAATTTTCTCTAATTCCGTATATATATATATTTTAGGACAGGGTCTCACTCTGTCACCCAGGCTGCAGTGCAGTGGTACAATCACAGCTCAGGGCAGGCTCCACCTCAACCTGGCAGGCTCCAGCAATCCTCCCACATCCGCCTCCCACATAGCTGAGGCTACAGGCGTGCTCCAGCTGTAGCCACCCCACTAGGCTAATTAAAAAAAAAATTTTTTTAAATCAGAAATCAGGGGCTGGGCACAGTGACTCACGCCTGTAATCCCAGCACTTTGGGAGGCCGAGGTGGGTGGATCACTAGGTCAGGAGTTCGAGACCAATATGGTGAAACCCCGTCTCTACTAAAAATACAAAAATTAGCTGGGCTTGGTGGCGCACACCCGTAGTCCCAACTGCTCGGGAGGCTGAGGCAGGAGAATTGCTTGAACAAGGAGGCACAGGCTACAGTGAGCCGAGATCACGCCACTGCACTCCAGCCTGGGCAACACAGCAAGACTCCATCTCAAAAAATAAAGAAGTAAATTAGGTCTCCCAATGTTGCCCAGGCTGGTCTCGAACTCCTGGGCTCAACTCCCACCTCAGCCTCCCAAAGTGCTAGGGTTACAAGCATGAGCCACCATGCCCAGCCAATTTGTTCTAATTCTTATTTAAGTATTTAAGCTGACACAAAAGATATTTTGTCTTATGTATATTACACTATAAAAAAGGAAGATAAGTGGATACCACTCCTTAACAATGCCCAGTTGATAAATTTGAATTTAACTGAATTCCATTTTCTCATTATAAACAAGTTATTTATCATGTCTTTATTCTCTTCCTTTTTGAAAAATACACAGAAAAATCAAGAACTATCATCAAAATAATTCAGATTTCAGAATGGATATATCTAAAATGAGAAAAAAACTGTTAGAAAACATCAAAGGCAATGAAAGGCTATCTGTGTGAATGAACTTGAAGTAATTTACACAAAGTAAATGTATCTTTAATTAGCTTGAAAACCACAAATAAGTTTCTCTCTTTGAGTGGCACAGCCTCCCACAAGTGGTCACCATCACCAGGCCATCAGCACACGTCTTGTGCCTCATGGGGTGAAGCCATTCCCGTTCCTAAATTCAGTTTGTGCTCAACACTTGGCACTTGCACCTGAGAGGCCAACCGACCGTCCTAAAGCAGCCAGGGCAACAGCCAGCACCAGCTCCTAAAAGGGTGTGGGAGCCTCAGGCTCTAGAACCTCAATGGCAACTGAGCATTGTGGCCTGGAAATCCAGGGCCCCACCCAAGTCTATTCTGATGAAAACAATTCCACCACTACTTCTGCTCTGACCCCAACGTTCCCACCTCCACCTCTGCTCTGACCCCGACAGTCCCCACCTCCACCTCTGCTCTGACATAAACACATTTACTCACAAGATATTCAGAAATGTATCCTTTATTATCTGATATTTGGCAATTTCCGAGAAACCTTTATTATAATTTCTTAATGAAGCCCACTTGGTCAGAGAGCATATTTTATGAGTTGCCTTTTTTTTCCTAAGCTTTTTTCTGGCATACCTTAATAAATGTTCTGTGTGCACTGGGTAAGCTACCCATCCTGCTGCCTTAAGTCCCTGTATCTATCAATGGGGTCAACTTCATGAATAGTGTTCTTCAACACTATAGTGTTCTACTATATCCTTACTGATTTTCTCCCTACTCATTTGTTCAATTATTGAGAAGTGGGTATTAAAATCTCCAACTATCATAATGGATTTGTCAGTTTCTCCTTGAAGTTCTAACAGTTTCTGCTTCAGGTACAATCGTGTACAACATAACAACATTTCAGTAGACAGTGGATGGCACAAACCACAGTAGCCCCATCAAAGTATAACAGAGATGAAGCATTCCTACCACATGGTCATGCTGCAGCCATCAGAATGTCATAGCATTAGACATTACTCACGTGTTTGTGGTGACGGTGGTGAAAACAAAACTACTGGGCCGCCAGTCATGAAAGTCTAGTGCATACAATTATGTACAGTACATAATATTAAATAACAAACAACTATGTTACTAGTTTATGTGTTACTATACTTTTTATCACTGTTTGAGAGTGTACTCCTTCTACTTATAAAAAGACAAACTTAATTGTAAAACAGCCTCCGGCAGGTCCTTCCAGGGTTCTGCCAGAAAAACACATTGTTATCCTGGGACAAATCCCTGCCTGTTATTACACGTGGAGATCTTCCAGCAGGACAAAATGTGTAGGAGGAGACAGTGATACTGATGATCCGAGTAGGCCTAGGCTAATGTGTGTGTGTGTGTGTCTGCATTTTTCTTTTTTTTTTTTTTTTCAGATGTAGTCTTGTTCTGTCACCAGGCTGGAGTGCAGTGGCACAATCTCAGCTCACTGCAACCTCTACCCTCCTGGGTTCAAGTGATTCTCCTGCCTCAGCCTCCTGAATAGCTGGGACTACAGGCATGTGCCACCACGCCCAGCTAATTTTTGTATTTTTAGTAGAGATGGGGTTTCACCATATGGGCCAGGATGGTCTCCTCAATCTCTTGACCTCGTGATCCACCAGCCTCGGCCTCCCAAATTGCTGGGATTACAGGCGTGAGCCACCACGCCCAGCTGTGTCTTTGTTTTTAACAAAAAAAAGTTTAAAAAGTAAAATTTTTAAAAACTAAAAAAGACTACAGACTAGGTATATAAAGAAAATATTTTTGTACAGGTGTACAATGTGTTTGTGTTTTAAGCTAAGTGTTATTAATAGAGTAAAAAGATTTTTTAAAAATTAAAGTTATAGGGCCGGGCACAAATTACTTTGTGTAATTTACTTTGTGTAAAGTTATAGGTATGTAAAAATGAGTTTACAGGCTCATGCCTGTAATCCCAGCACTTTGGGAGGCCAAGGCAGATGGATCACGAGGTCAGGAGTTCGAGACCAGCCTGACCAACACGGTGAAACCCCATCTCTACTAAAAATACAAAAAATTAGCCCGGCGTGGCAGTGCGTGACTCTAATCCCAGCTACTCAGGAGGCTGAGGCAGAAGAGCCACTTGAACCTGGGAGGCAGAGGTTGCAGTGAGCTGAGATTGCGCCACTGCACTCCATCCTGGGCAACAGAGTGAGACTGTCTCAAAAAAAAAAATTAAAGTTATAGGAAGCTGAGATTAATTTACTATTTAAGAAAAACATTTTTAAATAGGTTGAGTGTAGCTTACATGTACAGTGTTTAAAAAGTTTACAGTAGTGTGCAGTCATGTCCAGGCCTTCACATTCACTCACCACTCACTCACTGACTCACCCAGACCAACTTCTAGTTCTGGAAACTCCATTTGTCGTTAGTACTCTATACAGGTGTATCATTTCTTAATCTTTTATACAGCATTTTTTACTGTACCTTTTCTATGGTTAGATACACAGATACTTATCATTGTGTGACAACTGCCCACATTATTAAACACAGTAACATGTTGTACAAGTTTGAAGTACAGGAGCAACAGGCTACACCATATAACCTAGGTGTGTAGTAGGCTACACGATCTAGGTTTGTGTAAGTGCACTCCATCATGTTTGCACAATGACGAAATGGTCTAACTTACTTCTCAGAATGTAACTCTACTATTAAGCAACTCATGACCGTATTTTGCAGCTCTGTTATTAGTGCATAAATGTTTAGGGCTTACTTGTCTCCATAATAAACCCTTTTCTCATTATGTTCTGAAATGTACTTTGTGTGATATTACTATAAGTAACTCCAGCTTTGATTAGTGTTGGTACGGTATCTATTTTTTACTTTTTACCTGTGTTTTTAATGTGTTTTCTTATAGGCACCATATATTTGAATCTTGCTTTTTTATACAACTTGACACTCCTGTCCATTTAATTGGGGATTTAAACCATCTAATTTTAAACTTAGGTTTTTGAGTTTAATTTCCAAATACCTGAGGATTTTAAAGATTTTTTATTTATTTCTAATTCCATATTGTAATTAGTGAATATACAATTGCAATTTTAAAAAAATATACTAAGACTTGTTTTATATTCAACTATAGTTGGGATTGTTCCATGAGATTTTGAAAAATGTGTATTATGTAGCTGTTGCATTTAATAATATCTGTCAATATGCTGAAGTGCCTTCCTAATGTTATTTTAATATTCTATAGTCTTAATAAACTACATGTCCTTATTCTATAGATTAGAAGGAAAAAATCCGTTCTCGTAGATTTTATGTTGCCTATTAGTTCTATGAATTCGGGGGTACTATGTTTTTCTCCAGTCTGACAGTCTCTGCCTTTTAACTGCAGAGACGTTTAATTACTGAGTCAACCATCTTGCTCTTTGCTGCTCTTTGTTTTCTACTTGTCACACCTGGTATTGGGTTTCCTGCACCTGTCTTTTTTCAGGGGAAAGAAACCAGTTGATCCCACTTTAGCATCTAACTTCATCACCTCTACTGACCTCTTTCTTTTTTTAGTGGTTGCTCTGAGAATTATTATATGCAACCTTTACTTATCACAGTTTACTCTGAATCAATATTGTATCACTTAACACACAGTATTTTTTAAAAAACTTACCTCCTTTTATTACCTGGCCTCTGAAATCCCCACCCTAACAGAATGGCTTTAAGGTTCTATTTTTTAGTTATATGACCTTAACCTTTATATGTTCTTCCTTCCCTCTGCACTCTTTTTGTTCACTTTGTCATATACTTATTTAATTCATTAATTTTCATTTTTATTTTTATTGCTATATATATATAAAGATTATAAATTTTCCTATTTCCAAACATATCAAACAGATTCAGATTCTGATATGCAGTGTCTCCATTACCAATATTTTATAGAAATTCTCCAATTTCAGTTTATATTTCTCCTATGATACAAAAATTGATTAATATATTTACATTTACAGGCAGAAAGTCGTTTCATTCACTGATTTTGTTACTGCTTACCAATTTTATTGCATTGTGATCAGAGAATATTGTCTGTATGAGTTCTATGTTATAGAAATAAAAATTTCTTTACAAGCAAATGTATGTTCAACTTTTGGTGACACCCTATATATGCTCAAATAAAAATTACTGGGGAACAAAGTTCAATAAAAATTTAAAATGATATATTTTACTGCTCATGTTCTGAGCTCTCTCTTCTATGCCTCTCCTACCTTTCTGTCCACCTGACCCACTGGGAACTGCAGGTAGATGTTAAAGTTTCCTATGACGGACTTTATTATCTTATAGCATCTTTCTTCACCTCATTCTAAATGCTTTCTCGATTCTATACTGGTATTCTTG
This sequence comes from Homo sapiens, assembly GCF_000001405.40. Taxonomy (NCBI): domain Eukaryota; kingdom Metazoa; phylum Chordata; class Mammalia; order Primates; family Hominidae; genus Homo; species Homo sapiens. The sequence goes on along the minus strand of NC_000018.10, from coordinate 79,196,812 downwards.
TTAAGTACCAAGACTGCAACTCCTGTTTCCTTTTTATTTGTATTTGCTTGATATATCTTTCCTTTAGGCTTTCTGATCCAATTAATTTTCTGTGTGAAAGAGCCTGCATACTATGCATCTTTAGCCATATGAATTGATCAACTGTTGTCTAATTTTTAAAACCAAATTTATTTTTTGGTGAGGTGTGTATTTTCTGGTCACTACCATTTTGCCACTGTCCCAGTAGCCTGCCTTCATCCTACTCTCCTTGCTTTGACAGCTACTATTGAGCTCGTCAGCTTTCAATAGTCTCTGACTGCCTTAACACCCACGTAGCAACCAATGAGCTCCTTCTATTTTCTCCTCCTCTTCCTGCTTTTCAGCTGATTATTAGAGGAAGCGTATAAAATTCATATACACTGTACCATCTTCCACCCATCCTCCCTCCACTGTTTTATTCTTACGTCTGTTAGATCTTCAGTGCTCACCATAAAACTTCCACCCAGGTCATCTATCAGCCAGGCAGAGCTAATCCTCTGTAAGATTATTCACAAAAGGCTCATGTGTACAACACACCTGAACTCTGTATGCTTGAGACTGCTCTCCACAGAATTGGCACTTGCAGGACAGTTTTGAAGGAGCAAAACACTCCACTCACACATTCTTCCCCTGAGCCTCCTGGAAAGGCTGTGCTGCTCTTGTATGGCTCCGTATGCTGAGAACACTGACACCAACCTGGCCCCTTCCAACTGTGGGGAGCTGGTCATTTTCCCAGGGAGATCAAAGGATTTTTCCCTGTATATGTAAAATATGACAGCAGTTACACGTCTTGGAGTTTTCTCACGTGCATGCTGGGCCCTTTTAGTGTGTACCTTCAGACATCCTTGTATTTAATAACACACACTTGAGCTGTCAATGTTTCAAACCATTTCATGATTTTGTTTCAAGACTCTCATGTTGAGTATTTCTTGCCAATCTTCCACATCCATCAACTTCTAGTCCTTTTCACCTCTTTGATTATCTCGTTTCCTTGACTCTCTTCTTTACAACCTCCCTATCTCTTACTGTGCATCCCCCACAGGCACGCTGTGATTCGGTCCTCCCTTCTCAGATGCTCACGTTCAGTGTTCTCCTGAGTTCAGTTAGCCTTCTCATTCACGTTATCCTGTTTTATTCTTGAGCTTTTATTCTTACATTCTTGAGAAATTTATTCCATTTTGATTCTTGTGTTTTTAAATGTCTGATTTATGGTGTTCTTTCCTAAGTACCATTGTTTGGTTAGTAACATTTAAATCAGGCTTGTTGCACTGTTATAGAATTACTTTGCATTGAGGTTTTTTCTTTCCTTGCTTTTAGAAATTTTTTATTAATTGAAAATTTGCTTCCCACTTATGTTTTCTTCTGTTAATAACTACATTGGCCCAGGCACGATGGCTCTCATGTCTATGATCCCGACCCTTTAGAAGGCTGAGGCAGGAGGACTGTGTGAGCCTAGGAGTTTGAGGTTGCAATGAGCTATGATCACACCACTGCACTCTAGCCTGGGCGAGACAGCAAGATGAGTTTCTTCTATTCATAATAATAAGAGCTATTTTTCTTGAATCTGTACAAATAGGAAATCCTATTCCAAGGATGGGAGGTGGAATTTGTTTCTTAGTCCAAGAGTCCCTTCTTCTACAGGCACAATGAAGTTCTATGTCTTCAATGAAAAGCATCCTTTTGGGATGGTGTGGGCTGACTCTTCTGATGGTTATTATAATGTTTCAGGAAGGTCAACTTTGTCTTTTTCTTCCTAACCAAGCCTCCTAGAGCCACCAACTCTTTACCAGTGCCCCTTGCCCCTATACATTCCCCCAACGTCACTTCCAACCTGTACTTTCTCCACAAGTCCCTTCAATGTCCCAAAGCTTTACTTACCCAAGTCATTCACAGGATGCATTATTTTCTTCTGTGTGCAAAACCTGGATGATATCAGCATCCCAAGACAATCTCCTTCTGCTGCACCATCCTGGCTCTGGAGCTAACTGTGTTATTTTGGATATTTTCCCCACTTACAGTAAATTGAAGTTCACAGTATTTTCTGTCTCACATTTCTGCTAAACATGAGCTACAGATTAAACTCTCTACTCTCATAGTTAGCCTGTATGATTTTGGAAGCCTGTGTGGTATGTAACAAAGTTAAGTGGCCACCATTATCTTAAGGGAATCAGAATTTATGAATGCATCTTTTTAAAACATCTGTATTTATCATTTCTCTTCTAAGCTAAAGATCCTTCAATGGCTTCCTCCGGTCAAGCCACTGATACCTTTCTAGTCCAATACGCCCCAGCCCTTGTCACACCTGCAGACTGAGCCATACGCTCCCGTTTGAACCAGGTTTTTCAGCCAACCTGCACTTGCTCTCCGACTTCCTTGTACTTCCACACATTGTCTAGCGAACATTTCCGACTTTTCAAAGTCATGAGCAATATAAATTAGAGGAAACAGCAAGAAAAGGAAAGGAAGAAAGCAAATAATATTTCAAATTCTTAATAGTGGTTACATAAATACCTTTTCATTTATCTTACCAAGGGTACCTTTTTGTAACATTTATTCTCATATGTTGTCTTTAATAAGAACATGTTGTTTTCATAGTAACTACTTTTGTTTAAAAAAAAAAGATGTGAGTTTATTTCAGAATTCACTCCATGATATTTATCACCAGGTCATGCTTCCTCCTCTGTCCCTCCATGAACATCTTATGCATGCTTGTGTGCAGCACCTATGGAAATAGGCAGCTACAAAAGGCCCAGTGCCCCAAGGGACTTTAACGACCTCACAGGTGCCCGTGCTTCACATTCCCATAGTCTGCACACTAACTGTCACATTATATAAGCTCTGTAAATGCTTTTTCAAGTGATGACAACTGCTTGCCAATCCCTGCAAGTGACCAAGAGTGAAATAAAGGTGAATTCACCAACAAAAGTATTTTTAAAATAACTGCAGCAATTACAAATAACCTATAGTCATGTACTAAAATCCCTTACTATAAAGCATTTATAATATCAGTTATAAGCTGTTAAAATAAAGAGTTATTGAGTCTCTCAAGCCCTGTTAGTCAGGGGCAAGGTGCTTCCAGCTTTAACAAAACTCTGTAATAATATAAAGTGTGTGGCATGAAATATACATATGTGTATAAAGAAACACAACATGCATGTACAGACTCACATATATATAAATACCCACCCAACTCAGACAGTAAAAAGCTAGACATGATGTGGATAAGATAGTATACCAACTATTCAGTCAGAATGAAAATAAATTACTTCATTTAACTGATTCACAATATTTTAGGAGATAAAGATCTTATTAGTAAATATGCTAAAAAAAATTCCAAAAACTGTACTAAATGTATCCCAAAGACATATTTAATATGGGTACACTTAAGAACTTCAAACATTATATAGGTTTTCCCTTCCTAGTTTGAAACTTCTGTTTGAATTTATTCTTGATTGAATTACTGTCTCAAAGGTTTGCTACTTTTAACTTACACAATAACTCTATTTGTATTGAACAACAGGTTTAACTTACCCTGGTAAATGTGCCTTCGAAACTGTGAATGTCCATTTGTGGTTTCTGAGCATAAACATAAGCACTGATAGAAAAAAGGTCCTGGAATACAGAACATTTGAATCGATTAGAATGTTATAGTTTAGTAAAATTACTTGGAAATTTCTCATTTGCTGATTAATATTGTTCATATATTATTTACCAAAAGCAATCATTGATTTTCTTAGATTTTTGTGTGCCAACACTATAAATTAGAATGTCAGATAAAGAAAGAAACCATTTTTAAGCTTGACAGGGTGTGCTTTTGAACAGCAGGTGTGAGTCAAAATCATGCAGGAGACACTCAAAACAGGCAGCCCCGGGGCCTGTCCAGGGGGCTCCAATGGTAGAGGTGGAGCCTGTTTAGGAGTATCTTGAAGTCACCTGGGTATCAAAGTATTCAGGGGGAAATAAGGAACCATCGCAATTCCTCACAAGTTTTATAAAACAGTTTAATAAATTCCTAGATCTGTTTACATGCTTTCATTCAAGCAGGCACTGGTCACTATAAGCTAAGGGTGGCCTTCCTTACAGCCATGAAGACATGCTTGTCCTGTGTGTCTGAATCACATGCTCATGACACATACTTATACAATCACATGGGAAAGCTTTCACGAAACACACATCATGGCTACTTTCATACCATTAATTTTAGAGCAGAAAAGACATAGGGTTTAGGTTGCTTCATTCATTGGCTACACATAAAGGTTAAATCAGAAAGTCTCCAGAGGCAAGGCTGAGCCTGGTCTCCAATGGACGCCACCCCAGTGCCTCTTCTCGCTGCTGACTCTGCTGTATGCTTTTGCTGTCATAAATCACAGCCAGGGGGAGGATCATATGCTGAGTCCTGGGAGTCCTCCTAATAAACCATCTAATTTCGGGTGGTCTTGTGACCCGCCCCCCAACCCATGACCCTTTAACACACAGAGTTTGCCATTTCTATAATTTTGATTTCCATTCTGTACGTGTGAGTGTATAAAGTTCTGTCATGGCTGCTAAAACTCAAACAGAAACCTCCCAGACTCCCAGACATGAAGAAGCAGAGGTGAGAGATTAGGGTGACCACAGCAGCTGCAAAGTGAGAAAGAAATGGAAGCTCAGAAAGGAGAGTGCCTCAGAAGGGGCCGAATCTGTGTATGATCTCATTCTGACACCTAACCTATCATGCCCTAAACTATATCCACTAAACGAATGGAACCGAGAACACCACAGCAGCTCCCTAATGCCAGAAAGGTAGAGTCTGCAGTTTGACTTCAGTCAAGTTAGCTACCAGTTAAAACAGAACCAAACAAAAAACCAGTACTCTTCAGGAGAACCTAACAGAATCCTGAATCCTGCCTCTCTACAATGAATCATTTAAAAAAATGAAGAGATGATCCAAATTTCTAAACATATGAAGAAACAAAAACACAAGGTCCATAATCAAGAAAGAACATGATCAGTGAAGACTGGCCCTGAGATGGTCAAACTTCAGCATTAAGAAATGAGAATTTCAAAGCAGCTTTAGCACATCTTAAAGAAAAACATGCTCCTAACGAGTAAGCAAGTAGGAAATCACAACAAAGAAAGAGAAAGTGTATTTAAGAACAGAGAAGCACATGGAAATTCCAAAATTGAAAAAATGCAATGTCTGCAATAAATTCTTTAGATGGGATTAACAGATTACAGATGATGGTGAATCTAAATGCGGGTCAAGAGATAATGATTCAAAAAGACACAGGAAAAAATTATTTTGAACATGAATACAGTCATAGAACCATGAAGGGAATATCGCGGAGTCTAACATGCATGTAACTGGGGTTCAGAATGAGTGGACAGAGAGAGGATGAAAAAACAAAAACTACTTGAAGAAATAATGACTAAAAATATGCCAAATTTACTGTCAGCCAGAAATGTACAGATTCAGGATGTCCAGAAAACCCCTAAACACATAAATAAAATTTAAAAATATCAAAATCAAATTGCTAAAAACCAAAAATAAAAAAAATCTCAAAAATACCTAAAGAAAAATAACACATTATACACAAGAGAAGAACTATCAAAATACCACTGATTTCTCATTATAAATAATGGAGTCAGAAGACAATGGAACAAAATATTTAAAGTGAGGGGTGGAGGGTGTGGAAGGCAGACTTGTCAAGCCAGAATTCAATATCCAGCAAAAATATTCTTTAAGAATACAGGTGAAATAAAGACACTGTCAAATAAATAAAATGAGAACTCCATTCCAGCAGACATCCACCAGAGGAATATCAGCAGAGGGAAACAATATCAGGCAGAAACTCATATCTTCAAGAAGGAATGGTAAGGAACAAAAGTAGTAAATATCTAAGTAAATATTTAAAAAAAACCCCCAAATCCTGTTTTTAATCTTAATTCCTTTAAAATATAAATAAAATGGGCCAGGCACGGTGGCTCATGCCTGTAATCCCAGCACTTTGGGAGGCCGTGGCAGGTGGATCACATGAGGCCAGGAGTTTGAGAGCAGCCTGGCCCTCATGGAGAAACTCCGTCTCTACTAAAAATACAAAAATTAACCACACAAGCTGCTGCACGTCTGTAGTCCCAGCTATTCACGAGCCTAAAGCAGGAGAAAACTGGTTGAACCCGGGAGGCAGAGGTTGCAGTGAGCCGAGATCGCACCACTGCACTCCAGCCTGGGTGACAGAGCAAAACTCTGTGCCAAAAATATATGTATATGTGTGTGTGTGTGTGTGTGTGTGTGTGTGTGTGTATAAATAAAAAGGGCTGGAACAGTTTATGATATGTGTAGATATACTACATATTAAAAAGTACATTGAGCTCCTGAGCAACATGGGTTGGAACTGTGCAGGTCCACTTATACATGAATTTTCTTCAATAAATCTGTTAGAAAACTTTTGGAGATTTGTTGATAATTTGAAAAACCTTGAAGATACACCACATACCCTAGAATTTTTTTTTAAATGTTTAAAGTTAGGTATAACATGAGAACATAAAATGTATGTAGACATAGTCTATTATATCACTTACTACAATAAAATATACACAAATCTATTACAAAAAGTTAAAATAAAACCTAAACACACAGGTCATGACACCATCTGCAGCCGAGTGACTTGCTAATGATCCTGAAGATGCAGTATCAAACCCTAACTGCACAGAACTAAGTGCAGTACACACTGTGCTCCCGGAATCGTGTCGCAGCCCCTCCTGCTGCTGCTGCGGGGAGTGCGTGCAAGGGTCTGCTGGAAATGCGGTGCGGCACCACTGACCTCTGTGTGAGCCGTCTCCGCTCCAGGACCCTGTGCATCACAGTTCCGAGTGCTCGCTCATGGTGCTCACATGTTTTCCATCGTGTTTGGCGTAATACCATGGCGTGAACCTTGAATAATACCACGGGACCAATAAGAAGTGCTTCTAGTGATGCTGGAAATGTTCTCAAAAAGTAGACAAAAGTCATCACACTACAAGAAAAAACTGAGCTGCTAAGTATGTGTGGTGGATTAAAGTCTGCAGCTGTGGCTGCCCACCATTTCAGACAGACAGTTCACCTTGTAAACAGGTGATGTCAACTTGTGCTATCAAAAAATACAGTACTGTACTATATAAGTGTATTTTCTCTTCCGTATGATTTTCTTAATAATTTTTCTCTAGCTTACCTTATTGTAAGGACACAGTATATAATACATATGACATCCAAAATATGTGTTAATCAACTGTTTAGGTTATCGGCAAGGTTTCCAGTGAACAGTAGGCTATTAACAGTTAAATTTGGGGGGAGTTAAAAGTTTACACATAAATGTTTGACTGCGTGGGGGATTGATACAATTGACCCCTGTGTTGTTCAAGGGGAATGTATAGTACAAAGGGTGGGTGGGGGAAACAGGTCTATTCAAGGACAAAATTATCTTTTTTTTTTGATGGAGTCTCGCTCTGTCGCCCAGGCTGGAGTGCAGCGGCAAGATCTCGGCTCACTGCAACCTCCGCCTCCCAGGTTCAAGCGATTCTCTGGCCTCAGTCTCCTGAATAGCTGGGATTACAGGTGCACACCACCACGCCCGGATGATTTTTATATTTTTATTAGAGATGGGGTTTTACCATATTGGTCAGACTGGTCTTGAACTCCTGACCTTGTGATCCACCTGCCTCAGCCTCCCAAAGTGCTGGGATTACAGGCGTGATCCACCGTGCCTGGCCTCAAGGACAAAATTCTTGTATTTTATGTGAAATGGTACAATTTTTACTTTTCACAATACACTTTTAGTTAAAGGCATATTGCAAACTCTAGTTAAAGGCATACTGTAACTAGTTAAAAAACTCTAGTTAAAGGCATATTTTAGTTAACAGAATACTGCAAACTAAAAAAAAAAAAAATGCTAAAAAGCCAAGAGATAAAATAGTATTCTAAAAATATTCAATTACAGTAAAATTGAAGAAAGATCTAAAGGAAGACTTGAGAAGCCGAGGTACACTTGAAGGCCTTAAGAGATAACAGAAAGAAACCAACAGAGAAAGATTAGAAAAAGAGAGAAGAAACTACTCATCTACCAAGGTCTCTAAAAAGCACAATTTGATAAGCTCAGTTGAAAACTATAAAATAATTATTCTTAGAAGGATTCTTTATTGCAATTATAGCAAAATGGGAGAATAGAGGTAATGTTCTTTATTTATTAATGGGATATTGAAGGAATTTCCATTTGATAGAATGCTTTTTCCATGTAAGGTAAGACAAACTGGTCTTACCGGTGAAGGAAAAGACAGGTGGATCAGAAATCAAAGGAGAGTGGAAAAGTCTGAAAGCACTGTCATCAGTAAGAGGAACCACAGTTGATTATAACTTCTAACAAGGATTACAGGGAGCACCGAGGGCCGAGCTAAAACTGGTAACCATCAATTTGTATTTCCCAACCTTGGCCTGTATTCTGAGGGACGTAGAACAATTCATTTTCCACTCTTATTTACTTTTTTAAAATTTCAGCAACCATATATATTTCTAAGAGCTCTTATTTTCCACATGATCCTTTTTCATAGCTTGTTTTATTTAGGTTGTTAGTAACATCCTCTCATATTTCTTCAAGTACATTAGACATCTGAATTTATTCTTTTCTGTTCCTGGAACACCTACTTCCTCTGGGCTGGGCTTTTACATTTGCACCGGGCTTTCTCTTTCCTGTTGATTCTACACACGCATTCCAATAATCCTTTCAGAAAAGGGGTAGCACAGCTAAAGGGCGTCCTCATGTTTTCTACACAGGACTCTTGCCTGCCAGATCTCTTCTTAAAGGGACTGGAGAGTTGTAAGTCATGCTCAATCACTTAAAAAAAAAATCTTTAACAGAGAAGATTCGATCACCTAAAATTGATATGGCATATTTCATTTCTAGAAGACATATTTACTATTTTTCTGTTGATATTTCATTCATTTTTCTATTTTAATCTATGTGAGTCATTACCATACAAATTTGTAAATTGCTCTGAGTTCCTTGAAGAATGCATGGGAAACAACTGATGCTAATGAAACAGGGAATTATAACAGCAATGCTAAAGGGAGCATCCTGTTCTCAGGGCAGCACAGTCCTCTGAGAACTGCTGGAATGGTTTTGTGCACTCCATTCAGCAGCAGCACAGGGGGAATCAGACACTCAACGGGAAACAAAATGAAGAAATGGCTCGGCAGAGACCACCTTCCATATTTCTTCCCATTTCCTTTGAAAAATAGAACTTCGGAGCTGTAGATGTGTAGGTGGTTCTCACTTAAAGAATGCATTTCTCAGCATTCTTTGCAGCTGGTTAGGACCAGGTAACTGATTCTGGCCAGCAGAGCATGCGAAAGGACATGTGCCCCTTTGAGTCCAAGTACTCACCAGGCCTTTCCTTCCGAACCTCCCCTGTGGGACAGTGTGGAGGTGGGGCAGTCACTGGAACCCACGTATCAGAGATGACAAAGTTGCCCTATCACCCTTTGACCACCCACCTGGGCTACTGTGAGGGTGAAAATCTGTTTTGATTTAAGGTGCGTCAGTCACATTTCAGTACAGGAAACAGAAGCCACCCTAGACAGTGTAGCAGAAAGTGATTTCATACACAGAACAAGATGCTTCCCAAATCAGTGAAAGGATGAAGTTCAGGACTGAAGCTCCAAAGCTACTCTCAGAATGTTACCAAAATATCCATCCAAGGAAAGCACTATGGCAAGGATCACATCTGAGACACGTGGTTTGGAGACCACCATGCACATAGTGCACTCCCACCCAAGCCCTAAAGCTGGAGAGCGGGAGCAGGAACTCAGACCCATGAGGACACCTGTCAGCAGAGAACACACAGGCAAAAAGATACCTCCTCCTCACTCCTGCCTTACAAGCTCTGTGAAAGTACATTCAATGTGAAAGCAAATTCACACACCTTTCAAGAAACTGTGAAAAATACGTGCAGGCTAGTTTCCAAATTTCTAAAGAACAGAGGCTGCAGGAAGGGTGGACTGAAGGTTGAACATACTAGTTTACCACAGTGCAACTGTTATAGTAGCTTAGACTATGTACTATTAATAGCAAAAATTTATTTAAATTAAGCTAGTTTACATGAAAAGAAATATTCTCTAGTAACTTGAGAATTATGAAACTTCTACTAGAATGTTTAATAAGCAGTCAAGTGATTCCAGGGATAAGGCAAGTCTGAGAATCACTCATCATTTAAATATGACACTGTCACAGTAATTTTCAAAACATGAAACTTTCATACCTCAAACTACTTTTTGATACATGAAAATAAAAAACAGGCTGGCAAGCTCATTTCTACACACACATCAGCATTTAGAGTAATGCATTTCATCTAGTATAGTAGACATCAAATGACTGAATAAATGGCACAATAATGAGAATGTCATTCGAAGCTTTTCACGATAATTTAAAAATCATTCTGAAGTTTTCAATAACGGAGGAAAGCCTCTGCTGTGAGGTCAAGGCCAACACTTGTTCGCATTACTTAAAGGTCATTAAAATACATCCTTAATCATAACATGTGGTTCATTACAAATAAAATTGCCTTTCGTTCAATAAAACTAATTAAATGTAAATGGTATTGTTTACTGCTATACGGATCTTTTGAAATAAATCAGCATGTCATGATTTATTGAAAGTTACTGTGGCCTTGTGGTTGTTAATAAATTTGTTTGATCACAAAAGCCAGAAACATATTTCCCAAATGTCTACAACGCCTGAAAACTGTGCCTCCAGACAGCTATGAAGCCACAAGAAACTGCACCTGCCATTACAGGCTCTGCAGCACAGTTATTATTACATGACTCTGAAATTTTAATTCTCTGAGAATATAACAGAATGGACAAAGGTTATTCTTGGCTGTGTCCTCAGCTCTTCCAGATGAGTTCTTAGGTCTCTAAGTTTACTCAGCCTGGCTGTCACCATGGACACAGTCTGATGTGACACAACTGTGATACAACAAACAGCTCACAACACAGAAGACCCTCAGATCTACACCACGAGAGACACGAATGTCAGAATGAGGGATGATTACGGGCATAAGCTATTACATGAAAAACTCAATTGCCTTGCCCATATCCATAATGAAATCAGAGCTTTCTTCTCTATAGAAAAAAGATCTATACCTAATATGCCAAGTTATGTGAAGCTAAAATATAAAATTGATTAATGAATCAGATATTCAGTTGAACTTCCTTTTTTCCTAGGATATACTGCTTTTTGGTGGTGTGGTAACAGCAAAAATTAAAATGTTTTCATTTACCATATAGTTATGTCACTAAAATCCTTAATCAGACTCTGTATCAAAGTGTACTGGCCACGAAAATGTTAAAGTTGCATTGTACGAATTATTTATTTTAATTCTGTACATATTTTTGAATTTATATGTGTATATATCTGTCACTAATAAAAATAAAGAAAGTATCCTTATAATATTGAAGATAATAAAATGTCACTTCCTATAATCATGGCAAAGAGCATTACTCAAAGTTATAGATAACAGTATGAAAATCTGTAACTACTTCATAAGGTGTGATTTCCATGCAATAACTGCACGTTTAAAGTGTACCATTTTGTTTTGATATATGTGTATGCCTGTGACCACCACCACCTCAAGATACTGAACATTTTCATTACTCACAAAAGTATCCCCGTGCCCCCATGCAACCCGCCTATCCCTGCACTGCTAACCTCTGTCACCTGCTGATCGCTTGTACAGAATTGTATGTTAATGGAAACATGTACCGACATCCTTGCTTGGCTGGATTTTTTGGGTTTTTTTTTTTCAGACAAATTTTTTCTAATATAGTGTTTTGATTCTGTACTTTCTTTTCTACTACACTTAGCAAAATTAAATCTGTTAGAAAATTATCATTTAGTGTGACTTGCTCCCAAGCTGCTTACTGCCAGGGACCCTAGAATTCTTGGAAGGTTCTTCAGGAGGAGGATGCAGAGGGTGGGGCTTTTGTCCAAGTGTTACAGCCAACCAAAATCCCCTCCAGTCATTTAAGGACTCATATTATCCCTTTAGTTCTGCAGAGATTACTTGAGTATGTACACAAGAAAAAGAAGGACACAAGGAGGAAATATGTAACCATGAAACAGTAGCACTAACCCAGCAATCAGTTCCAATTACATTAGAAAGTCAATAGGCTGCAAGAATGTCTCTATGATAAAACTTACCTTAATAAATAGTATGAGAACAATAAGCTAGATGTCAAGTAATAAGATAATAGAACAGACTTATTTCACAACATAAAAAAAAACCAAAAGCAAGTCGAAAACCCTGGGAAGCAGAGCGAGGATGAGAAAGGGCTGAGGAGGGAAATGATGACACAGAAGATGCAGGCTGGAGTGACGCACGATTCTGCTCAGCTCATAACATGAAATTAAAAAAACAAACAAACAAACAAAAAAACCTACTTAACCTTAACTCTCAAACAATTCTTTAGCCACACATACTAAGTGAAAGATTCAACTTCCCTCTGCTAGGTCTTTGTGCATCAGCTGGAACTATAGGAACTATTTTAATAATTATAATAGTGTAAATGCAAATTACTTGGCTCTCACTTTTCGATTCCACCTACTGACAAACATTTAAAAGTGGTTAAAATGATAAATGAATACTGGTGGGCAAACAGCCTCCTGGTACAAGACAAAGCCTATAAATGCATAAAGAAAAACATATAAACAATAAAAGAAAACATATAAATATTTACCTAAATAAAATTTGAAATATTTACATAGCGAAGATATTATAAGGCCAGAAGTTAAGAAACAGATTGGAGAATATATTTGCAATGTGTACTGGGTAAAGTTATGGAGAAACAGATACGCTGATACCCTGATGTTGAGAAATTAGAATTGTATAAACATATGGGGACAATATTAAATTTGTGCAAAAATAAAAATCTAACAAAAAAGTTCTTCAGTGAATGGTACTGGTGCAACTTACTGTTTTTCTTTTTTTTTTTTTAACTTTAAACTAAAAAAAAAATACTCCCCCCAAAAATGGTAGATAATCAGATTTTGTATGGAAAGCAGGAATTATTTTAAAACTAATTATTTAAAATATAATCATGAGTAGAAATAGTCAAAGCATAAAACCAAAAAGCAGAAATCATTGAAAAAAATATTGGTAGGTCACATTATCTAAATACACTGAACTTTTATATGGGCAACAGAAACTATAAACGAAGTATTTAGAAACATTGGAAAATAAAAAATTATTAACAAACTTTAGCAGATAACATGAACAGACTTAGAAAATAAAAATATGAGAAATACATTTTCTTAGGTAAGAATTATCTTCAATCTCACACATTAAAAAACTAAACAAATGTAAATTTAAATGGGATACCATTGTTACAGTTATCAGATTGGAAAACAGTGAAAGATTAATTGATTAATTAATACACAGTAGATAAGTTGCATAGTCTTCTGAAAAGCATTTTGGCCAAATAATCAAAATTCTTGAAATATGCTTTTTTTTAAATCTAGAATTTCAAAATGATATCTTTTAAATTTACCAATATCAGGTCAGCTATGGAAGCTATAATTTGTCAGAAACTATGCAGCTAATAAAACACTTGCAAGGATACACAATTCCTAACATGAAAGGATGACCCATAGCATATTGTTGAATAAATATTCTACTAGTAAAAACAGTAATATACAGCATTATCCAACCATGCAAGAATGTGGCTAGGGGAAGGTACTGTCAGAAAGGATTTATACCAAAATGCTCTGATGGCCAATGCAGACTGGCAGGTTTTTTTCTATTTTGTGATTTGTGTATTATTTTCAATGCACACATTACTATTAGAATCAGGACTCAAAATTGACATCCACTTCTTTTTTAAAGGAATGCCCCTGAAGAGAGGGCAGGAACATCTAAAGGTGGCAGAAGGGCCGGCATCCAGGCTCTGCAGGGCAGTCACAGGCCTCCCAGCAGGTAGATCCCTACCAACAAGCAAATTCTCAATAAACAAATAACTGTTTGTTTTAGTTTAATTATAATTTGAAATGTCATGCAGTTTGTTTCATCCACAAGGAACTTAATATTTTTCATTAAAAATTAATCAAGGGCTTCTACAAGTCATGTTGTGGTAACTAATATGAGACTTGTCCTCCCATGAAAACAACTGGAAAATGGACAATATTTATAAAGTATCTATTTTCAGACACTAGATACAGTGCCCCAGGGAGAGGAGAAACAAAGCCATGTGCCCCACATAAGCCCAGGTAAAGAGATTTACCACTTTAGACAGCAGAAGCCAGGCAGAGGGAGGCAGCTGTTCTGAATTTAGGAGACTGAGACCAGAATTCAAGGAAACTGACAGCTAGCATTTGCAAAATACTGAAAAGAGGCAAGGAAGAAACAGAATTGCAGAAATATGCAAAGTGTTCCACCTGAGTGTTACTGAAAGTGAGTACACACAGCATACAGGGTAAGAGTATGTCCGGCCGGAGGAGAACCACGGAGCTCCAGCCCCAACCACCTGCAGAGACCACAGAGTTGGAGAGCTGAGTTTTGACTAGCCAGAGTTCAGAGGCACCTGTGAACCAGCAAGGATTTCAGTAGACATCAGCAGGATCCCAGCAGGATCATGCTCTAGCAACAGGATTAATTAGCATTCCAATAAAGGAGCCTCTAGGCCTGTAACAAAGTTTAAGGACAAGCCTTGAAGACATCAAGTTGACCCACAAGTTGTTTAACTAATTTAATAAAGATCGAGATGCTTTAAAGATAGAAATGAAAATCTCAGACATTAAATGTAACACTTATATACTCAGCATACAATAAAAAATTACCAGACACGGAAAGAAGCAGGAAAGTATGGGCCTATAACGAGGGCCAAAAAATTTAAATAGAAACATACCCAAAAGTGACAGAGATAAAGGAGTTTTAACATACATGGAATTAAGCATTACAAACCGTTGAAATAGTCCAATGAAGCCATATACATATTAGGAAAGAATAGAAAAGGTATTTAAACAACAAAAATGAGAGAAACGTATGAAACATCCAGAGATTACAACACTCAGAATAACAAAATTCATTGGGTGGGCTTAACAGAAGACTAGATACTGAAAAAGATAAATGTTAGTGAATTTAATGACAGAGCAACAGATACTATCAAAATTGAGTTACAGAAGGAAAAAAAAGGCTGAGAAAAAGAAGAGTAAGAGAGCATCAATGGCATGTGGGAATCTAACCACTTGATATTCCCATGTCATTGAAGTTCTTACTCTTTTTTAATATGAGTAGTTAGACTAATTTACTTGATATTAGTAGTTAGACTAATTCTGTTGGTCATGTCTCAGAGGGGTTTGGACAGAAGGAAAGATAAGAAAAATAAAGGCTGAAAATCTTGAAACTGGATAAAAACCATGAAACTCCAGATACAAGAAGCCCAACAAACCCAAGCAAGACAAATGAAAATGCATCAACACACTTAAATTCCTGAAAGCCAGTCAAAACAGGAAAGACTTTCCAAACGCCCACAGAAAAAGGCACAGAGGATAAAGTGGAGTCAGGGTAAGAATGCCTGTAAGCATCTTTTCAGGACTATGGATGCCATCAGATGAAATCAAAGCTCTGAAAGGCAAAGATAAATGAAAACTTCAAGACATCCTTCAAAAGTGAAGGCAAAATAGGCCCAGCGTGATGGCTCACACCCTTAATCCCCCACTTTGGGAGGCCAAGGTGGGCGGATCATCTGAGGTCAGGAGTTCAAGACCAGCTTGGCCAACATGGTGAAACCCCGTCTCCACTTAAAAAAAAAAAAAACAAAAAAACAAAAATTAGCCGGGCGTGGTGGTGGCACATGCCTGTAATCCCAGCTACCTAGGAGCTGAGACAGGAGAATTGCTTAAACCCAGGAGGTGGAGACTGCAGTGAGTCGAGATTGCACTACTGCACTTAAGCCTCTGTGACAGAGCGAGACTCTGTCTCAAAAAAAAAAATGAGAAAAGAAAAAGGCAAAATAAAGACAATTTTCAAACAAACAAAAACTGACAATCTCTAGCAGATTTCACTACAAGATACGTTGAAAGAAGTTCTTAGGGCTAAAGGAAATTGGCAGTAAATGGAAACCTGGATCAACACACAGGAAAGAGAAGTCTCAGAACAGGTAAACAAACACATGGGTAAACAGAAAAGACTGTTTTCATTTTTTACTATCTTTAAAATATGCTTGACAACTTTGAACAAAAAAAAACAGTAATGCACGGTGCAGCTGATAATATGTAGAAGTACGACAGCTGACATGAATACAAAGGATGGGAAGGAAGCCATGGGCATCTACTGTGCACAACTCTTACACTGTAAGTGACATGGAGAAATATTGCGGTAAGTTAAAAACACCCATTGGAAACATGATAATGACACAAAACAGAACTAACGTACATAGCTAATTAGCCAAATGGAAATATAACACAACACCAAAAGATGAAGAAAAGAAACAAATGGGATAAGTAGAACCTACAGAGTCAAATGACTGACTTCCGCTCAACCACATTAACGATTACTGTAAATGTACACAATAAAAATGCAGCAATTCTCAGAATAAAAAAAGCAGTACCTACTTTTATTACATTAAAAAACACTTTAAATTCAAAGAAAAAGATATATAAAACACACACTAATGGAAGATAAACCATGTAAATACTAATTTAAAAAAAGCTGAAATTACTATAATAGTAAAGAACAAAATAGATGTCTCAACAAAGAATATTACCAGGAATAATGAAAGGGCAAATTCAACAAAATATAGTAATTCTGAAAGTGTATGAACCCAGTAACAGTGCTTCAATATAGATCAGGAAACAGGTAACAGAGCCAAAAGGAGAAATAGTTCCATCTACAAAAGGTATGGGATCTTAAAAGTCTTCTTCAGTAATTCAGAGAACGAATGGTAGAAAACAACTATAAAACTTTTTTAAACAACACTTTCCATTAGCTTGACCTAATGAACATTTACAGAACATCCAGGCAATAGCAGAACAAACATTATTTTAAAGCTTACATGGAATACTGACCCAGAGAGTTCATATGCTGGGCCATATCACAAGTTTCAATACATATGAAAGGACTGAAATAGAACAGAATATGTTCTATGACCATAAGAGAATTAAATAACAATAAATTACCAGACATTGGGAAAATCCCCAACTGTTTAGCAAATAACAGTGTATTTCCAAATAATCAAGGATGAAAAGAAGAATCATGAAGGAATTAGAAAATATTTTTAACTAAATGAAAATGATTTTTTAACTAAATTATTAATTATTTTTAACTAAATAAATCAAAATTTGTGTGACACAGGTAAACAATGCTTGGAAACAGGTTTACAGCTCTGAAAGTTTATAAATAGAAAATAATAAGTTATAAAATCAAAGGTCTAACTTCCACCTTAAGGAGGAAGAAACAAAAAAAATTATAAACTATGTAGAATGAAGGAAATAAAGAGCAGAAATTAATAACACAGAAAATGAACAAACAATGAAGATAATCAATGAAACCAAAAACAAGTTCTTTGAAATGATCGATAAAAGAGACAGGATATAAACTACCAATATTGGGAGTGAAAGAAGGAATCCTAAAATGGCTAAAAAAATAATGGAATATTATGAACTTTATGCCATTAATGTTGTCAACTTACGTGAAATGAACCAATTCTCTGAAAAACACAAATTTCCAATGAAGAGAAAATCTGATTAACTCTATACCAAAGAAATTCAATTCACAATCAAGTGTTTTCCCAAAAAGTAATCTCTTGGATCAGATAGTTCCAAAAGTGAATTTGTTCAACATTTAAAAAATAAATAACGCCAATTTTATGCCAACTATTTTAAAAATTACAGGAGGCAAAAAGACTCCCCAACTCATTATAAGGCCAGCCTACCCCCAGATATCAAACTAAAGACATTAAACAAAAGCAATACAGATCCATATGTTTCATGAACATCAGCACAAAACATCCTTAACAAAATATCAGCATATCAAATACCGTGACATAATAAAAAGACATGCAGTATGACTACTAGGTGAGGTTTATGCCAGTAATACAAGGCTGGTGTAACACATATGAAATCAGTCCACATACCATCATATTAATAGATAAAGGAGAAAATCCATATGATCATCCCTACAGATACAGAAAAGCTTTGGAAAAATCTAACACCCATTCATGATAAAACCTCTCAGCAAACTAAGACTAGAAAGAACTTCCTCACCCTGACAGAGACTCCCTGAACAAGCTGCAGCTAGCATTATACATCAAGGCGGAATGCTTTTGCTCCGAGACTGTCAACAGGACACATCACCAAAGAGGACAAGCAGATGGCAAACAAGCACACAAAACAACGTTCAACACAACCGGCCATCACAGAAACGCAAACTGAAGCCACGATAAGATATCACTGCACACCCGTCAGAATGACTACAATAAAAACTGGTGACAACATTGAAGGCGGCAAGGACACAGAGAAACCGGGTCACTCATCCGGTGCTGGTGAGGACAGGGAATGGCACAGCCACTCTGGAAAACAGTTTGGCAGCTCCTTTGAAAGCCACACTGTGTGATCCAGGAACTGCCACATGCACACACACCCCAGCCCCATCCTCAGGTGAGGAGGTGCTGCTCCCTGACATATAACTTCACTATTTAATAGCTGCCTGGTTGACTCTACCCACCACCAAGCAGGTAAAAGGCAGCTGTCAACTGCCCAACCTCTCCAATCTGCTCATCTGTTGGTCCAGTAGAACCTACCTTCCTTCATTCACTGACCACGGAAAAATGTTAAGTTGTAATAACTCTAAACATATAAATTATGCATAGTATCCTAGATAATTTAAGTAAACAATCATAGAACACTGAAAATTAAAAACCCATGAAAACAAATCATCTGAGCAGCACTTCACTGCCTGGCTTTGACTGAGAAGCCTGACCCAGAGAAGCAGCTTGGACAATTTTCAAATAGAGCTTCTGACCTGAAGGCTAATGAAGTCCATGTGAGGTACAGAGAGAAAATAGAAGAAAGAAAAACACTTTTATGTGCCTAAGTGAAAATTAAAAACAGATATTCATTTGTGAATATCTGGTTTTACTGATTTGAAAGATTCTACACACACGAGCATGTATGTACTTTTTAATTGGCAAATATCAATACAAAGTCGCAAAGGAGAGGAGCACACAGCCAAATAAGAAATAAAAATTTATCACTGGGCATGGTGGCTCAAACCTGTAATCCCAGCACTTTGAAAGACCAAGGAGAGAGGACTGCTTGAGACCAGGAGTTCAAGACCAGCCTGGGCAACATAGCAAGACCCCCATCTCTACAAAAAAAAAAAAATTAAGAACTGGCTGGGCGTGGTGGTGTGCACCTGTACTCCCATCTACTCAGGAGACTGTGGAGAGAGCATCACTTGAGCCCAGGCGTTTGAGGCTGCAGTGAGCTATGATCATGTTACTGTATTTCAGTCTGGGCAACAGAGTGACAACCTATCACTTAAAAAATAAAATAAATTGAAAAAGGAAAAGGACATTAAGAGGAGGAGGAGGCGGAAGAGGGGGAAGGGGGCAAGGACAGGGAGGAAGGGCAGGAAGGTGAGCAGAAGGAGAAAGAAAACCTAAGTGTCAAAGAAAATTCACAATTACCTAAAACTGATTATGTGCTAAGACATCACAGAAATTATTTTGGCACAATTCTTCAATGAACCTTCATGAGGAATAAAGAAATTATAAAACAAATTCTCAATGCATTAAATAAATTAGCTGGTATAAACAGAAATATACGTGAAGCCTAGAAACTACCATTGAAGATAAAAGGATGGAGTAGTCTTGGTGCTGCTCACCCCCAGAGCCGGCAGCTGTTGCGTGCAGCTCACTGCCACCTTCAGCTTCCAGTCAGTTTCACCATCTAGTTGATCAGTTCGAATAAAACACGAACCTTGGAAGTAGAGAATAAAAATTTACCACTCTTGAATTGTTACAGAAGGTTTTTCCTGAGCTACAGGTGCCATCAAAGAATAATTCCAGGGCACAGTAGGACAAAGAAATAACAATCTAGATATTCCCAGGAACAAAACTCCTTAAAAACTTTTATTTTACACAATGTTCCTTGATTCACAAAACAGGTTTCATGAAAAGATGTAGGCCATTATATTTTTTTAAATCACTTATTTCCTATTTGCTGTTCTTGCCTATTAAGGTTTAACATTAATCAGCCTTCTATTTTAGAAAAACTGCATTGATCATTTCTACTTTCAATGTATGTTTTGATAATAACAAAATAACAAATACACAAAAATATCCAACAGTGTATAGTATTATTTTGCTAATAAAATACCAGATTTACCGTCATAAAAAATGTTCAATCATAAAAGCACAGCTACAATGCTAAGACCCAGGTAAATGTTACCATATGCTCTCAGGCCTATCCAGTTTCAAACATGCTAAGATATTCTATTATGAAAATCCACTACTCTTTGGCCGTGCTATCATCCCACTTCTCAGAATCTATTCTAATGATGGAATAGCAAAAGCACAAAATGACATACACACAAGGCTGCTCCTTGCAGCATTATTTATAATAACAGAAGACTGTTGTGAAACAAAGGGGAACAAACAGAGGACGAGCTGAATAAAACAGAGCACATACGGCAATACAGAGAGAAGAAAGTAAAGCAAACAAGATGACCTCAATACACTGTCATGGAAAGATCTCTAGGATATAGATTGTGAAATAAAGAAAGTAAGGTGCAGGACATTATATATAGAAAAATACATTATAGTTAAGAACAAGGGAGGGAGGAGAGAGAATTTGTATACGTCCATACAGATCTCTATGCATATATAACTGTATACATGCATGTTCATCTGTGTGTGGATATGTATCTATGTGTGTATCTGTGTGTGTGCATGTATATGTGTGTGCGCGTGCATGGCTAACTTGTGTGTGCTGTGTGTGCACAAGCGTATCTGTGTGTGCACATGCATGTGTACATATGTATTTGTGTGTGCTTGTGTGTATGTTTGTGTACATGGGTATCTGTGTATAATATGCATGTATAACTGTGAACAAGTACCTGAGGATCTGTGTGTTTCTGTGTGTGTGCATATTGGTGTGTGAACATATCTGTGTGCACACAAGTGTACCTATGTACGCATGCATGCATATCTGTGTGACAGATGTGAGGGCATGCAAATCTGTGTTTCTATGTGTGTGCCTCTGTGTGTGAGTGTATCTGTATGCATGCAAATGCTTCTGTGTGTGTGCACATATATCTGTGTACGCATGTATGTGTGTATAATACCTATAGAGGCAGGAAGGGAACAGGAATAGATGCTAGGCCTTTTGAATATATCTTATACTGTTCACTTTAAAACCAGATACATTTTATATAATTAAAAAGCCAAATTACACCAAACTTTTAAAAAACTCCTAAAAAATAAAAAGCAGCGTATAAAACATAATTCAGTTTAATCACAGAGAGAATTCATCCAGGTGACTTTTGAGGTTTCAAAAGTTTTGATGTTTTTTTTTTTCTTTTTTTTTTTTTTTTGAGACAGTCTCGCTCTGTCGCCAGGCTGGAGTGCAGTGGCACAATCGCGGCTCACTGCAACCTCCACCTCCCAGGTTCAAGCAATTCTCCTGCCTCAGCCTTCCGAGTAGCTGGGACTACAGATGCGTGCCACCATGCCCAGCTAATTTTTTTGTATTTTTAGTAGAGACAGGGTTTCACCATGTTGGCCAGGATGGTCTCGATCTCTTGACCTCATGATCCACCCACCTCAGCCTCCCAAAGTGCTGGGATTACAGGTGTGAGCCACCACGCCTGGCCTGATGAAGAACTTTACACTGGGAAGATCAGTTGATAGCACCTGTATTTATTCATCACTAAAAGAGAGACATGTAGACATCTGCCTGGAGTTAGAAACAGGACTATACAGGAGCATTGCTATAGTATTCTTTAACCAAAAAAATGAAAAGCTAAAAGAAAACCAAAAATGAGTATGATCAACCCTTTAGATCCACCTACCAGTTAACAAAAATACAGGATATAAAGGAATGTATTAATTAATAACATGGTTGTTTTGTGTATGCACTCACACAATCTAGAATATCAGATATTCTCTATGTCCAATAACCCTGTTTTTTCAACAAATAAAAAACAAAGAAAGAGAAGGAATTGTTTTAGAAGAAAACAGATTTGAGAGACACCTGTACCAAGCGCAAGAGAAGGGCCCTCGCATCCTGACTGGAACAGATCAACTGTAAGAAGTGTGTGAGACAATCAGAAACCAGGAGACTCACCAAGCGTTAATCTAAGAAATCCCTGTTCAATAGTTTATGGTATGATAATGGAATTGTGGTTGTAATCTGTAAATGCTGAATTTGTTAATGCAATCAAATTATACACAGGATTTCATCCAAATGAGACATACGGATGAAGCAAGACTGGCCATTTAATGAGCAGTCTTCCAGGGGACGATGGTGACGCAGCAGTCCATTACACTATAGCTTCATGCAGTGAAAATTCCTAGAATAAAGTTTAAGATCCAATTTAAAAAACAGAAAATGAATAAAACCTTTAAGGGAAGTTTACTTCCAGAAAGATAGAGCAGATGTACTCTTTCTTATTCTTCCTAAATAAAGCAAAAAATGCTGAACATTAAATTTTTAAAAATGATGATGATTCTACAAGAGGAGGAAAAGTGCAGTCCAGCTCAATTCCTCGGGTATCAAGAAAGGACAGTGGTGATTTCCTGTTTTCATCTTGCCCTTTTTATCTCAGACTAGCAAATGAAGAACCCGGCCACCCATAAATGCCAACAGGTGCAGACTTCATGACTATCATTGTCCCATGAAGACTTTCTTTAAAGATATAGGCAAGATTATTCTAAAATGTGTATAGAAAGGTAAAGTTGTTTAAAACAGCTAAAAGTTGTTTAGAATGGCTAAAACAATGTGGGGGAAAAAGGAAGAAAAAATGGGAGAAATCAGCCCACCAGATTTTAAGACTTACCAGATGGCTGCAGTAATCAAGATTGTTTGATACTGAAGAAGGAACAGAAACACAGATCAATGGAACAAAATAAAGAACCCAGAGAGAGTCCCCCCAACATACAAGTATGGCAACTACTTTTGATGCATTTACAAAAGCAATTTATGGAGAATGGAGTCTTCACTATAAATGACGCTAGAGCATTTGGACATACATAGCCCAACAACCCAAAGCCTTGACCTGAACCTTACATCTTATACAGTAATTAACTCACAACAGACCACAGATCTCAATGTAAAACTTTTAGGACAAAAAAAAAAAACCACCACAAGAAGAAATCCTCAGGGCACAGGGCTGGAAGATGAGTTCCTAAACAGGACATCAAAGGAACAACCCATTAAAAAAAAATCAATTGGACTTTGATAAAATTAAATACTTTGAATATGTAAAGATCCTTGCAGAAGATGAAAAGACAAACTACAAACTAGTACAAAATATTTGTAAGCCACATATCTGACAAAGGACTCCTATGTAGAATATATAAAGAACTCTCAATATCAATAGTTTAAAATAAATCCAATTAGAAAATGGGCAAAAGACATGAAAAGACACTTTACTAGAGTCCTGAGGATGGCAAACATGCAGCAAGAACGTGCTCAACGTCGCCAGCCATAACGGAACGGCACACGCAAACCACGAGGAAGCACCGCTTCCATCAAACATCGGCCAAATGTGGCAAAACTAGATGTCCCAGGCATTGCTGGTGGGAATGTAAAACAAAACTGTAACTCTGGAAAAGAGTTTGTCAGTCTTAAAATAAGCATAGAATGACCATAAAAATCAGCAACCTCACTCCTGGACATCGATCTGGAGAAATAAAAACTTATGTCCACAAAAAAGCTGTACATAATTGTTCAAAGCAGTTTTATTTATAACAAAAACCTGTAAACAACAAAAAACTTCAACCAACAATGATGAATGGTTTAAAATATGCTGTGGTACATCCATCCATGAAATCCTAGTTAGCAGTAAAAAATGAACAAACTATTGACATATACAACAACTTGGATGGATCTCCAGGGTGTTGTGCTAAGCAGAAAAAGTCTCTAGGCGGGCACGGTGGCTACGCCTGTAATCACAGCACCTTGGGAGGCCAAGGCGGATCGCAAGGTCGGCGCACGGTGGCTACGCCTGTAATCACAGCACCTTGGGAGGCCAAGGCGGATCGCAAGGGCGGGGCACGGTGGCTCACGCCTGTAATCACAGCACCTTGGGAGGCCAAGGCGGATCGGAAGGGCGGGGCACGGTGGCTACGCCTGTAATCACAGCACCTTGGGAGGCCAAGGCGGATCGCAAGGGCGGGGCACGGTGGCTACGCCTGTAATCACAGCACCTTGGGAGGCCAAGGCGGATCGCAAGGGCGGGGCACGGTGGCTACGCCTGTAATCACAGCACCTTGGGAGGCCAAGGCGGATCGCAAGGGCGGGGCACGGTGGCTACGCCTGTAATCACAGCACCTTGGGAGGCCAAGGCGGATCGCAAGGGCGGGGCACGGTGGCTAGGCCTGTAATCACAGCACCTTGGGAGGCCAAGGCAGATCGCAAGGTCAGGAGTTTGAGGTGGGCGGATCATGAGGTCAGGAGCTCGAGACCAGCCTGAACAGCATGGTGAAACCCCGTCTCTACCAAAAATACAAAAATTAGCCGGGTATGGTGGTGTGTGCCTGTAATCCCAGCTACTCAGGAGGCTGAGGCAGGAGAATTGCTTGAACCCAGGAGGCGGAAATTGCAGTGAGCTGAGATCGCGCCATAGCACTCCAGCCTGGGTGACAGAGCAAGACTCCATCTAAACAAACAAACAAACAAACAAAAAAAAACGAGTCTCCGAAGGTCATGAATGGTTTATTTCATTTATATAACACTCCAGAAATGACAAATTTATAGAAATGAAGACAAATTCAAGGTTACCCAGGGTGAGGGCTGCTGGAAGCAGAGGGATGGCTGAGCCCACTGGGCTAGTGTGAGGGAGATCCTCACGGTGGTGCAACAGTTCTGCACCTTGACTGCGTTGGTGGTGACAGGAACCCACACTCAAGATGAAATAACACAGCCTTACGCGCACACACTGTACCAGTGTCAACATCCTGGTCTGATATTCTACTACAGGTAAGTTGTCAACCACTGAAGGAATCTCGGTGAAGGGACACACGGGGTCTCCCTGTACTACCTTTGCAACTTCCCAGGAGTCATTAATTATGTCAATATAAAATGTATTTTTAAAAAAGGTGTTGTTCACTCTAGGAATAAGTTTTAAATAGCAAATTAAAGCTCTCAATTTAGGTTGCTAATAGAACTGCAATCTATCTTTCCTATTAATATGTATCTATATAACTCAACTATACTAGTATAAAAATATTCATATTTCACGAGTGAATTGCTTCATAACACCCTTTCTCAAACATGAACAGTCTTAAATTTTGGAAATGAACAAAATTTCAACAGTGCTAATATACTACAATGGTACTGAAGCAACAATCAGATTTAAATAATATCTAGATTTTTAAAAATAGGTTTTTAATAAAAAAGCTCTATCAAGTTCCAAATATTTCAAATATACTTTCAAATCTTGAATTTTAATTCTGTTTTTAAGTAAAAAAGTTACTTAACACTATAGGGGGAAGGTGGCATCAATTAGACTAAACAAAATATGCTCATTAGCAAAGAATCTTTCAGGTACAACTTAAGAAAATCTACGAAGATTCTGAAGCATACCATGTAAAGCTGCACAGCACAGCCAAGGCAAAAACAAGAAACCAGGGAAGAAAATGGTTTTTCCTCCAAGTTTTGAAAGCAAGATTCAGGCAATAAGTACTATGTGTTTTAGTGCCTACAACTTAATAAACTGAATAAATTTGGCGTCACAATCAGGTAGGGTCTAGTTTTCAGAACTCAGTATTATACTGGCGAATGCTTATAATCAAGTAGCTCAGCAGACGAACTAATCTGACATGCAGGAGAGAGACCTCTGACACTGCACTGGACCAGAAGGGGGCTTTCACACACCAGCCTTTCCAGCAACTGATGGAAATGTTTAAACTCAGAAACAACAATTCCAACACAATATACAATTTGATTCCAGAAACCTAAAAAATATATTAAGATGCTTTCCCAAACAAAGTCTACAGAATGGCATAAAAATCATATTATAAACCCAGAGATTAAAAATCTGTTTTTAAAACACATTTAGATTAAATAATGAAAAGGCCAACCTAAAAGTGTGACTCAAACATTTGGTGTTTGCAGTAAAGAGATAAATAATGCAAGTAACTGGACTTAACCTCTAAATATTGCACTACAGGAAGCACACTGTAACTATTTCAACACCTACAGAGGAGGAGACTCATCTCAATTGTTCTTGGCTCCCACTGCCATTCTAGGAGAGTTCCCCATCCTGTTTATCACTGTGTGCTCCCATTCATCAATTTCATTCAGAATCACACTAGGAATCGATGCCACCCAGGCCCAGTGTGGCTCTGGGGAGTGCCTGACATGAGCTTGTGCTCATCGGACAGAGCCGGTGAATGAAAGTTACCGGCCGGCTGCAGCTCCTCCCTACCTTGGCAGCCAAGGTCAGCCAGAACAGAGCTCCTGGCCTTTCCCTCTCCAGAGCAAGAGACAGTCTGAGCTCAGTCAGCTTGCAAGTGATCACCGCAGCAAAACGGAAGCATTAAAGACAAGGGTCTTACACAGTAACAGTAATGACAGTATGGCTTTAAGTATTGGGGAGTCGTAAGGTAATTTTGTAACTTTGCTGGAAGTCGTAAGATAACTTTGTAATTTACTGTTAAAATGAAAAAATAGGTAAACAGCCTTTCAAAGCTCCTCACTGCTTAGAGGTGACAGCCATGTAGTAAACAGCCTGAAACTTCTGATTGTGGTCATTTCTAAGCCATTCAGCATTCAGGAACCATTCTTCCCACAGAAATGACTAAACTTTTATATATCTAATAAAGTCTGATAAAGATCACCTAATGCATAAAGCAGCTGAAATACTACGGTATAATGGTCAAAATAATTCAAAATGGTTAAACTAATACTATTAAGTATTCATAATTAACAAATGTATAACTAAATAATGGTTAAGAAAAGGTATGTTAAGAAAAGGTTTACTTTTATCTTGAAGAAAGCAAATGGAGACTTTATGAAGATTTTACAGGAAATGTCCAAAAACACTCCGTGGGAACGCTGAGTCCAGAAACTCTGTGTGAAGACTCACGGCTTTCACACAGTCCAGCCAGGCTCTTCCTCAACACAGGTGACACACAGCAAGCTCCCACATATTTCACCAATATTTACTGAACACCTACTATACTGAAAGCATTACTCTAGCTACCAAGTTTCCTACTGACCTTAACAGTGTTAGGTGACAGTATAACAAGTAAAGACAGACAACCAAATGTGAAAGAGAAAATAAGAGGTTCTAGAAGGACCTATTAATGGTATGGGGTTGACCATACAAATAGCCCAGCCTCAGAAATCACCAAGAAAACTCACTGTTCACCACTTGGAAGATACGGAAAGTCCCATTCCAGAGACAGGGTGGAAGCCCTTGAGGGACCCGTCATAGAAAAATGCCTCCACTGTACAGGAAGTAGATGACCAACAACAGCCTGTATCAGGTCTTCTCAAAGTCTCCTCAACGAGGCAGGACGCTGCCTCCACAAATATGCTGCCTCTGCAAGCATGATGCTCTTTTCTGTCACGAACCTCAAAGGCCAAAGGACCAAGATCAGAGAGAACAATGGGGGCTGGAGAGGAGAAGAGAGAAGGACAGGGATAATGTGGCAAGGAGAAGAATGAGGCATGGAAGAGATTTAATACAAGCACACACTGGGTGCTTGGCTCATTGAGAAAATACCTCCCAAAGACTGTCAGGGGAGAAACAGACATAGCACTCCTAATTAAGGAAGGAGTAATGGAATTTATTCCATACTGTACTCCAGACTTGCCCACAGCTACCCCTTCTTCAAAAAATGTATGGAGTTATACATGTCTACTGGGAAGTCACTTCTTTCTCCCCCAAAAAGGGGAAGGTTACTGACATTTACTAAGCATCTACTTATGAAGTGCCAGTCATGGCCTATCTGCAATATCTGATGTCCTGTGAGACAGAAGGAAAAACTGTCCCTATTTTAGGCTCAGAGGTAAAGTACCCCAAGGTCTCCCAAGTGAGTGAAGAGTGCCATGATTAGGTCCATCTAACTCCAAACCCATTATACAAGAACACATAGCTCAGCCCTCCACCTCAGCACTTCAACCAAGAGTTGACTTCCTGAACAGTTGCAACTACAATACACAAATGTAAAAAAAAAAAAAACAAAATCAAAAACAAAACTTATTTGGGTTGTTTGTTGTTATACTCATTTGTTTATTTTTATAGTCACTGGCTGAACTCTAGGAAATCTATCCCCCCGCAGGATGCAGCCACGGACCCCCTGCTCAGACTCTGCAGTCGCCAGGCTGAAATGCCACCACCAAGTCTCCTTCTATTTTTCTTGGCTTTCCGGAGGTTGCTCCTGGCTCCACGTAAACCACTTTCTGGTCAATGTGATGGCAGCAGTGGCGCCTCTGGAGTGGCGGCTGCGAAGACTGCAATGAGGGAGGTGTGCCTAGGGCTGCATGCTCCATGGAGCTGGCAGGATCCCCATCCCCTTCCGAGTTGGCAGGTATGCATGTGCTCAGGGCAGTGCTGACATGCCTGGCACTCTGCCGGCTTGGCCCTCTCCAGACTTTGGGCGCCAACAAGCACGGGAGGGTGGCTCGGGGCAGGCCTGCAGGCAACCTTGGGACAAACAGCCTGGGAACCATACATGGCATGTTGATGGTGGGAGTCCCACAAGTTCCTGGGCAAAAATTGGCAGGTCCCCTGTGAAACCCTACCTTCAAGCCAGGAACAACCTGAAGCCTCGGGGCCGGGCTGCCAGTTCCCAGTGAGGTCCACTGCCGGAAGTGAGGACTTCATTGATGACCATACAGCCAATCGGATAGTGCTTTTTCTAGGCCCGCCCATGGCTGCCCATGGACCAATCAGCATGCGCTTCCTCCCTTCTAAGTTCATAAAAAAAGCGAGTTTCGGCCAGACTCACACAGAAATTGGGACTACCAGCTGTGGGAAGGAGCTACCCACTCCGGGTCCCCTCTACTCTGAGGGCTGCACACTCCACAAGCCAACCTGCCTGCGGAGAAAAGCTACCCACTCCAGGTCCCCTGTCCGCTGAGGGCTGCACACTCAACAGAACGACCTGCCTGCTGATAGGAGCTACCTACTCCGGGTCTCCTCTCCACTGAGAGCTGCAATCATCGGGACCACCTGCCTGTGGAGAGGAGCTACCCACTTAGCGTCTCCTGAGAGCTGTACTGTCGCTCAATAAACCACCTCTTTGCCTTGCTTACCCTCTAGTTGTCCATATACCTTGTTCTTCCTGGATGCCGGACAAGAACTTGAGACCAGCTCAATGGTGGGAATGAAAGAGCTGTAGCACAAACAGGGCAGAAACACGCCCTGCCATTCGCCTTATTGCAAGCAATGAGAAGGAGAGAAGATCTGTGGCTCTTCAGAGAGCCCAGACTTAACAGCTCACCGAGCCAGGGC
Source organism: Homo sapiens (assembly GCF_000001405.40). Lineage (NCBI taxonomy): Eukaryota > Metazoa > Chordata > Mammalia > Primates > Hominidae > Homo > Homo sapiens. Next base: position 79,167,103 of record NC_000018.10, on the reverse strand, counting down.
TGTGACATCCTCTTTGGGGATCTGCGGTTCCTAGCGTCTCCAAGCCTCCTAGGGCCACGTTTCCTGGTGCCCACAGTGGAAGTCGCTTATGGAACGCCTGATTTGGCCACAGCCTCACACAGAGCCGGCACCTGGAGCTGCCTGCCCTGCCACAGCCAGCATGCCTGGCTGTGTGCAGTGGCCAGATCCCACGCTCGCTCACACACACCTTGCCACTCTGTTCTGGGCTCACCCTCGGCAGGCGTGGGATCCGGGCCGGCAGCACAAGCTAAGCAAAGCCTGCTGGGCCAAGGAGGCAGAATGAGCCCAGCAGGCCTAAGCAAAACTTGGACAAAGGCTCCACGGGCCATAGAGGTTTGTGGCTGGAAAAGCAACACCCCAAAGATCCTGTGACAAAAGGTGGTGCTCAGGCTGGCTTAGCTAGTTGGACTTCCAAGCTTCATCACTGGCTGTGTGTGGCTTAGAGACCTCTCACAATTCAGGGATTTCACGACTTTGCCCGTGTTCAGTCAGGGATGGGTGGCTTGGAGGTCTTCTCCATTGACTCCTGAGACCATCATCTTGGGCAAAAACCATCTTCCAGGCTGACAGGGAGGCCTGTGATGTCATGTGTAAGCTCAGCATTGTAGGACTCACCTTGGGGACAGAGGACCATGCATCATTTGGCCAGCTCAGAGGTTGTAGGTAAGCCCCTTGGGTCAGTGGGCTCTGGCATCATGCAGGGCTGTTATCTCCCAGGGAGTCCTTTCACATTTGCTCCGAGTCCCATTGCAGCTGCTTCTGAGAGCGCCTAGCACATGCTCACAGTCTCCTGGCTCCAGGATAGGCTGGATCTAGGACTCTCCATGAAGCTTCTGACTGGGTTGCTGTTTCTGCCCTCTGAAATGGTGGCCACCAAGCTCTCCAGTGTTCTCAACGACATCCTCAGAAATGAACTCTGCCAGGCTATTTTTCAAACAAAGTCTGTAGGGAAGGCTGCAGACATCTCAGCACTTAGGACCTGTCTCTCACCCTGGGCAGAACCTCTGGAGTATGGCATTGGAGCTGGGGACAGGACAGCAGCCAGCTCTACCAGGAGGGATACTCAGGTCATCAAGTGGGCACTGGGGATGGGGTTGTGGTGTAGCCCCTCCAGCACTGTCACCTCTGCCTTACAAGCTGCTGGGGCTGGAACTCACTGGGATACAATGCTCAGGAGCCCAGGTAGAGTCTAGAATATAGTCCACTTTAAGTTACTTTATGTTAGTGCCCTAGGCCAAGCCTGTCAGGAATTGGGCTTCGGCAACATGAGTCTGGGGAAAATAAGAACCATGGCCAGCCCCTCCTGGGTGGGGCTGCAGCCATAGCCTAGGAAGTGCAGGAAGACAGAGCCCCTGACTTTTTGGCTGCATGGGCTTAGAGTAGAGCTTCCTGCACATGGAGCTGGGGTAGAGAGGAAGATAACAGGCCATGGCTCAATTTCTGCAGACTCAGTCTGTTCTCACTGAGAAAGAAGGTCTCGAAAAATATTAAAACAAGTATTCCTAAAGGTAAATAACTGAACAAGTAAGGTTAATTTTAGAGATTCTCTTCAATGGATGAAAAGCCCTCCATAGGTTTTCAACTAGGGACAATTTACATTTGGCAACTTCTAGAGACACTGTTGGTTTTCACAACTGGAAAGGAAGTTAGGAGAATGCTACTGGCTTCTGGTGGAATGAGGACAAGAATATTCTCAACACCCAACAGTGCAGAAGACAGACCTGCCCACCACAGCAGAGACATATTGGGCCCAAAGCACCAACAGTGCTAGGTAGAGGTGAGAATGCCTGCTCTGGAGGCTTCCATCCCAAACTGGCATAACAGAGTAGGCAGAGCCAGACAGTCAGAAGCTGAACACCAGCCCTGTAACTGACTACTCAATGCTCCCTTTCAAATAACTTGACCTTGTTAGACCTCAGTTTTTTAATCTGTATAAGACTTACCCTGGAGTTATGTTGTAAAATTCAGGGAAAATACGTGAAAGCCTGTCATGAGTGTCATATACTGGGAACTCGTATCATGGTAGCTAGTTGTTTCTCAAATTTGGAGAAATCATTAAAGTAGATTATGTAAGAACAGATCTTCACATGGCTTAGTCCAGCCCACCCTTTCCACAGAACATTCTACAACTAAAATGTCCATGCAAATCCACATCCATAATACCCTCATTTCCCCCTCTGAACCTCCTAAAAGTATTTCCACATGCTACTGAGCATTCTTGTGGTCTCTTACTCTACACAAATATTAAATGCTTTTCTCTCCTAGCTGATGCATTTTCAACTAATTATAGCTTCTAGCAACTCAGTGCCTAAATCTGCCCTATCTATGTAACTACCTCACCAATTTTATTTTATTTTATTTTTTGAGATGGAGTCTCGCTCTGTCACCCAGCCTGGAGTGCAGTGGCGCGATCTCAGCTCACTGCAAACTCCACCTCCCGGGTTCACACCATTCTCCTGCCGCAGCCTCCTGAGTAGCTGGGACTACAGGCGCCCGCCACCATGTCTGGCTAATTTTTTTTTTGTATTTTTAGTAGAGACGGGGTTTCACCATGTTAGCCAGGATGGTCCCGATCTCCTGACCTCGTGATCCGCCTGCCTCGGCCTCCCAAAGTGCTGGGATTACAGGCATGAGCCACCATGCCCAGTCACCAATTTTATTTTTAATCCTTTTAAGTACCCTGTAATATGGGAATTATCATTGTTAAAATGGAATCTGGGAAATACAGAGACATGAACCCACCTGTCTAAGGCACAAAAAGATCAAGAGCCATGAAAAGATTCTCCAGTTATTGGCGTTATCAATTAAAGTATATCTGAGACAATGTCATCTGATTACATATACTTTAAAAAATATAGGGCTGGGCACAGTGACTCACGTCTGTAACCTCAACTCTTTAGGAGACCAAGACGTGAGAATGGCTTGGACCCAGAAGTGCAAGACCAGCTTGGGCAACACGAGAAAACCCCATCTCTACAAAAACTAAAAAATAAAAAATTAGTGGGGCATGGTAGCAAGCACCTGTAGTCCCAGCTACTCGGGAAACTGAGGTGGAAGGATCACTTGAGCCCAGGAGTTCGAGACTGCAGTGAGCTATGATTAAGCCACAGCACTCTAGCCTGGGACAGTGCGAGACCTTTTCTGTCTCTGTCTGTCTGTCTGTCTCTGTCTCCCCCTGTGTGTGTGTGTGTGTGTGTGTGTGTGTGTGTGTGTATAAAATAAAATATGAAAATAAAATATAAAAATATTAAAACAACTATTCCTAAAGGTAAATAACTAAACAATTGAGGTTAATTTTAGAGATTTTAGAGACATATATTATATTATACACGCATATATATATACACACACGCATACATATATTTAAATAAACCGTTAGGGGTTATTTGTCAAAAGAATTATAAAAAAATATATTGCACGAGCTCACTGGTTTCAACTAAGAAGCAGTACAAGAAAGGTTGCAGTGCATATTATTTTAAAGTTACAGTTTTTTTCTAGATTGAATTTCCCCCTTTATATATGGGTGAATGTTCTGATATAAAATATTAAAGTAACGTAAAATGGACTAAATTCTAGACTCTATCTGACACATCTGTGAGATGTCAATGCCATTCACTCTACTCTAGATTTTCTATTACATAAAGAAAAAAACAAGTGAGAATCTCTGGAGTCTCATAAATTTCCTGTATTCTGTGTTTCTAAAAGTGAAACAAATATCTAAATTTCTGTAAACTTATTAAACACTGAAAAAATAGCTGACTTTGTTTAAAGAAAAAAGCCATGCCTCATGTTAAATCATATGCTATTTTTTAAACTTAGAGAAAAACAACGTTATTACTTTTACTCAAGTTAAGTACAGTTAAAAATACTAACCTTTCAATAACTGAGGTGATTTAAAGAGAGAAAGAATGAACTCTAGCAAATCAGAAAGATGGCCAGCTTGACTTATTTCACAAGAACTGCATCTAATAATTTTTTAACAGAAAGCACTCGCTAAAACTGACGCCAGTTAAGGCTCAGCAAAAAATGTATTACTAAGTTGGCCTGCTTATATCCTATTACAGACTGCTTATGAATACTTGATTTTATTTTATACAACTGACAAGAGTCAACAGGCTTAATGACAATTAAGATCAACTCGTGTATGTGTCACATAGGAGGGTGCATCAAGTGTGCTGAAGAAACTGACAGGACACCGTCGGAGCACGAGTCTGTCATATCGCATAATAAGTTACCCTGTAATATTAGTAGACTTCCTACAACAGCTCACAAATCCAACAGCTCTGAAAGAGATCGGCTAGGGTATACGGCCAACAAAAGAAAGATAGGCATTGACTTTGCATTTATAATACCAGATTGTCTGCCATTAAACTTAATTTTTAAATCATTCATACGATTTAATGACTCTGCATGAAATTTTCAAGCTGGTAGCAAGACGAATAGCACTACAGAGACCATGTGGATGAGTACAGTGTCATTTAACCACCACCCCGTCCCACTAACAAGTGACAGACAGCTGAGGTACTATAATATGTCCCAAACACTTAAAGTATAATGTCATCACTTAGGAGACAAGTGAAAAAGATATTGACATTTATAAGAGATTGATGAAAATTAGTTCTAAAGCATTAATTTCTCTTAATACCACTAAAAGAATTGTGTGCACTCTGGAGATATTTGATCTGAATTAAGAAAGTGATGAAGTAATTGATTAATTGGAATTTAAGCCATCAGTCACCAGATCCATCAGCAGCTTCATTTACATTCTAAACAATCAGCTCACAGCCCAACAGAATATTCTGTGTTAATACACAGTCAATACGATGCCATGAGCAACCCACCATGCTGTACTGACAAGCACCCAGCTGCCAGTGTTCAAGCTGGGATATGCTGCATATATTAACACTTAGGACTTCCATCATACCTAAGATTTAAAATATTGTAATTATAATAAACAGTGTATTATCAGATTTTTTCAAACTGAAACTAAAAAGCAATAAAATAGTATTAAAACTGTTAGTAGATACAAAAATTCAGTACATTTGTAGTCTACTGAAAACAACTAGGCAATAAGATAACTTTAATTACTTAAAAATCACATAAACAGAATTTCTAAAGCTAAGAATTCTTGATTGAAAGCAATATTATAACACAAATTTTATATAGCTTGAAAGCTATTTGGTCTATTTTATAAGAAGAAAAATAGCATGAAAAAACAATCTGACTTCTTTTTTTTTGAGACGGAGTCTCGCTCTGTCACCCAGGCTGGAGTGCAGTGGTGCGAACTCGGCTCACTGCAAGCTCCGCCTCCCGGGTTCACGCCATTCTCCTGCCTCAGCCTCCCAAGTACCTGGGACTATAGGCGCCCGCCACCACGCCGGCAAATTTTTTGTATTTTTCTAGAGATGGCGTTTCACCATGTTAGCCAGGATGGTCTCGATCTCCTGACCTCGTGATCCACCCATCTCGGCCTCCCAAAGTGCTGGGATTACAAGCGTGAGCCACCGTGCCCAGCCCTGACTTCTTAATATCTGCATTTGAGTAACTATTATTTTAACAATTTAAATTTGACAGAAAAAATAAAACTGAGGATGAAAATAGAAGCATAGATTAAAACAAACTACAGCAGGGCCCTAACTTGAACCCATCAATAATCCTCCAGGGATATGCAAACAATAAAAAATCCAGCATGCCTGTGCAGTGTATACATTTTTCTGAGGAAAGAGGTGATAATTCTTAAGATTCTCAAAGGGATCCACGACCTTCAAAATATTATTACTCCACTATGAAGAGTGATTCTCCCTACAACATGGAATGTAAGACAAAATTAGAGAGAAATGTTTTAAAACATCATCAATTTGAAAGTGTTATTTATCCAAGGTTAACACAATAGATTATCTCATTTGAGTCATGTTCTAATATTCCATTTACGTTTTTCTGTCTTACTATGGCTTAAAAATGATGCAGTGAAACATTAAGAGGCTGAGGAAGAATTTCCAAAATTGCTATTAGTGGCCGGGCTCAGTGGTTTACACCTATAACCCCAGCACTTTGGGAGGCCAAGGCAGGTGGATCGCTTGAGGTCAGAAGTACAAGACCAGCCTGGCCAACGTGGTAAAACCCCATCTCTACTAAAAATACAAAAATCAGCCAGGAGTGGTGGCGTGCCTGGAGTCCCAGCTACTCAGGAGGCTGAGGCAGGAGAATCGCTGGAACCCAGGAGGCAGAGGTTGCAGTGAGCCGAGATCGCGCCACTGCACTCCAGCCTGGGTGACAAAGCGAGACCTCCTCCAAAAAGAGAAAAAACAAACAAACAAACAAACAAACACAAACAAACCCATAAAATTGCTAATAGTCATATAATGTTAAGCAAGGTATTTACATTCTCCAGCCCTCAGATTCCTCTTCTGAAAAGTGGACATTTCTAAACACCTTTCAGCTTTAAAGTGCTTGACTTTGTTCATAATTTATCTTCTAACACAATCTATATAATCTTTTCCACTTAATTAATTACCCAAAACTGTTTTCATATTTGGAATAGTATCTTCCACATATTTCTATCACAACTGTTAAAAGGGCAATTAATACAATAGCATCTCCCAAATTAAAGCATTTTGTTATTCATTACACTGGATACACATTTGTAAAACAGGACAAATAAATCATAAATAAGTAGGTGAAGTAAGCAGGGATGGCAGTATAAAAACCTCTGAAAATATACTTCTGTGTAACTGCAATGAGAAGACTAGTGAAAATTGCCAAAAGCAACTGTTTCAGAACTCTGGAAAATAACCGGACTTGAAAGAATTCCAGGAGCATTTATTCAACAAAAACACTAAACCTAGCTAAGAGTGAGCTGTGTTAGTTAAAATCCCTGCGGCAATCACTAACAAAATAGTTTTTTAAGTACATTATAATAGAAATGATGGGGAATTAAAACACCACATTAGAAAATATTTAAAACAAAAGAAGGCAGTAATGGAGCAACAAAGACACAAAAATATCACAAGACACACAGAACACAAACAGCAAAATTGCAGATGTAAATTCTGCCTTATCAGTAATTACATTAAATAGAAATGGATTAAAGGCTCCAATCAACAGGCAGAGATCGATGGAACCTTTTGAGTGTGCCACCTACCTCCCATCAGGCTCTGGTGTATAATCAGATGATATAAAGCCATGAATGAAGTTACAGTTTCCCAGGAAGAACATGTACATCACAAATGTAGGTGTGCTTAGGACAGAATCCTGAGAAACACCATTTAAATTTCACAGAGAAAGGGGATGTAGGGTGAGGTCATGACGAAAAACATCTCATTCAAAAGGTTTGGCTGCAAAGCAAAGGACAGAGACGGGATGGTAGCTAGATAGGTGTGCTGGGTCACTGGGGGTTGGGGGTGGTCTTTGGTGACTGGGTAGAGACACGTTTCAACGCCTATAGGAAGAAGGCAATGGAGCTGTAGCTGAAAGTGGCGGGGTTGAGGGGAGGGTTGATGGCTAAGAGTTAATGAACAGGTGGTAAAGGCAGACAGGAGAAACACTGAGAAAGCTGGAATAAGCTGCCTTCAGGAATGGGCCTAGTCAACGGGAACACTGTGGGTTACACAGTGAACTCTACTGATTCACAGAGCTGCAGTCAGATGCTTGTGTGGCCTTCTGAGTTGGAACTCTACAGCCAGGTATGAGAGAAGAGACACTGGAGAGACTGATGTAGGGCTGTAAAGCTGATCAGGCAGGGTAACAGGGCAAAGGGAGCTCATCTGGATGGGGAGAATAATAATAATTAGCAAGTGTACATACCTGCTAAGATTTTAAATGGATACATTTTGCTGGATGTGAATTTTCCTAACTAAAGCTGATTTTTTAAACAAGCAGATTGACAGAATGAATGAAAAATCATGATGCAATTACATGCTGTCTACAAGACACACACTTCGTGTTCAAAGACACAAATAGGTAGAAAGTATGACAACAGAAAAAAGGTGCAAACAGTAACCAAAAGAGAGGTGCATGGCTGAAGACAGTTTATAATGATAAAAGGGCCAATCTGCCAAGCAAACATAAATATATTACATCTAACAGCAGAACTTCAAATACATGAATCAAAATCTGACAGAATAGAAGGAAAAACAGAGAAATAGTGACAAACTTCAGTACTCCACATTCAATAATGGATAGGACAACTAGATAGAAGATGAACAAAAAAAGAAGATTTGAACAATGCTGCAGACCTAGAACAAAATCTATGGAACATTCCACTCAACAGGAGCAGAATGTAGATTTTCCTCAAGTGCATACAGAATATTCTCAAGGATACCCAGTATGTTAGGACATTTTTCACAAATGTGAATAAACTTCAAAGGATAGAAATCATATAAAGTATGTTCTCCAACTACAATGGAATGAAATTAGAAATCAATAACAGAAGGAAATTTAGAAAATGTATAAATATGAGGAAATTCATATTCATTAATAAACAATGAATCAGGCCAGATAAGGTGGCTCACACCTGTAATCCCAGTGCTTTGGGAGGCTAAGGTGGGAGGATCACGTGAGGCCAGGTGGTCAAGACCAGCCTGGGCAACACAGCAACAGACACAGCCTGTCTCTACAACAAAATTTAAAAATTACCCAGGTGTGGTGGTGTATGCCTGTATTGCTAGCTACCTGGGAGGCTGAGGCAAGAGAACTGCTTGAGCCCAGGGGTTCAAAGTTACAGTGATCATCATAGTGAACTATAATCATGTCACTGCACTCCAGCCTGGGTAACAAAGCAAGACCCTGTCTCTACAAAAATAAAATAAAAATAAAAATAAAAACTAAAAATAAATAAGCAATGAATCAAAGAAGATATCACAAGGGAAATTAGAAAATAATTTTGAGATGTATGGCCAAACCTCATGAAATACAGCAAAAGCAGTACTTAGATGGAAATTTGTAGTTATGAACACCTGTACTAAAAAAGACCCTCAAGTAAATAATCTAACTTTCCACCTTAAACTACAAAAAGAAGACTAAACTGAACAGAAAATAAGTGGAAGGAAGAAAACAATAAAAACAGAAACCAATAAATGAAATAAAGAACAGAAAAACAAGTGAGAAAAATCATTAAAACCAAAAGCTGGTTATTTTAAAAGATCAACAAGATTGACAAACCTTTAAGCTAGACTGACCAAGAAAAAAAGAGAGAAGAGTTCAATTACTAAAATCAGGAACAAAGGAGGTTACATTACTACCAACCTGACAGAAATAAAAAGGACTGTAAGGAAATCCTAAAAACAACTGCACGGCCGCAGATTAGATAACCTAGATAAAGTGGATTAGATAACCTAGATAAAGTGGACAAATTATGAAAAAGACACAAACTACCAAAACTGACTTGGAAAGAAATAGATAATCTGAATAATCCTGTAACAAGTAAAGAAACTGAATTAGTAATTTTTTAAAAATCAGAGTAAAGTCCAGTCCCACAGGGTTTCATGGGCGAATTCTATCAAACGCTTAACAAAGAATTAATAATAATTCTTCACAAACTCTTCCAAAACATAGAAGAAAGAACACTTCTTAACTCATTCCACTAAGGCCAGTATTACCCTGACACCAAAACAAAAATAACACAAGAAAAAGCAAAACCAAAACTATAAGTCAATACATGTTTTTTTTTTTTTTTTTTTTTTTTTTTTGAGATGGAGTTTCACTCTCGTCACCCAGCCTGGAGTGCATTAGCACAATCTCGGCTCACTGCAACCTATGCCTCCCAGGTTCAAGTGATTCTCCTGCCTCAGTGTCCTGAGTAGCTAGAATTATAGGCCTGTGCCACCATGACTGGCTAGTGTGTGTGTGTGTGTGTGTGTGTGTGTGTGTGTGTGTGTATTTTTTTTAGTAGAGACGGGGTTTTGCCATGTTGGCAAGGCTAGTCTCAAACTCCTGACCTCAAGTGATCCACCCACCTCAGCCTCCCAAAGTGCTGGGACTACAGGTGTGAGCCACCACGCCCAGTCCAATACATCCTTTAAAAACAGATGCAAAAAAAGCCTTAACAAAACAGTCGCAAATCAAACCCAGCAACACACAGAAGGACTACACGCCCATGATCAAAGGTTATGTATTCTGGCCTCTGTCTGTGGTTGAGGAGATGAGCCTTTCCGGGGACTGGAGGGCCTGCAGACTTCTCCCACGCAGCAGTCTGTGCTGTGAAGCAATGCACTATGAGATGAGTCATTCACATGTGACAAACTATGAAGGCAGCCTACCCACTGGACTGCAAAAGCACCTAAATGGTCTCATTACATTATTGTTAAGAAGAGCAGAATTACTTGAAAAAAGATCACATTATACTCCAATATTGGCAAATGATGGCTTCAAAATATAAGCAGTAACACTTCAAAAGCAAATAATGCCACTTGCAAAGAGAATTAGTAAGAAGGCTTCCAGAATGAAGAGCAATTAGGATGAGAAATCAGTTAAGGAAACACCAGCTATCATAAAAGATTAACCTTGCAAACGGAACTGCTTAACAATAGTTTATATAGAGTCCATTTGATAATGGAAGGGGAGGGGCTCTGTTCCATACATTCATTCAGGACACCAGGCTGACGGAAGCTTTGGCATCTTTAACAAGCAGTTTCCAAGACTGCCCTAGTCATGGCCATCTAACCAGCAAGGCGGAAGAGATGAGCAGGTGCCTGCAGGAGAGGTTAGGCGCAGGGCTAGATGTGGCATACAGACTTTTGGCTCTCCCTCTTTGGCCAGAGTTCAGTGACATGGGACCAGCTAACTAGGCAGGAAAGGGAGTCCAGCTGTGTTTCCAAGAGGAAAGAGAAATGGGCTGGAAGTAGCCAGCCAGTCCCTGCCACAGTTGGGAAAATAAAAGCTCACATGAAACAACACATAATAAACGTATCAAGTATACAGAAGTCACTTGATTATTGGGTAGAGCTGATCTCCCGTTAATGGCAGAATTCATCTCACAATGTAAGTAACCATGTAACTACAACTGGTAGAAAGAGAAAACATTTGGCCGGGTGCAGTGACTCACGTCTGTAATCCCAGCACTTTGGGAGGCCGAGGTGGGTGGATCACAAGGTCAGGAGATCGAGACCATCCTGGCTAACATGGTGAAACCCCGTCTCTACTAAAAATACAAAAAATTAGCCGGGCATGGTGGTGGGCGCCTGTAGTCCCAGCTACCCGGGAGGCTGAGGCAGGGGAGTGGCATGAACCCAGGAGGCGGAGCTTGCAGTGAGCGGAGATCGCACCACTGCACTCCAGCCTGGGCGACAGAGCGAGACTCCATCTCAAAAAAAAAAAAAAAAAAAAAAAAAAAGAGAGAAAACATGTTTCTTCTTTGACAAAAATGTCCCTTCTAAAAGTATGTTGTTTATAAATACAGAAAAATTAAATCAACAACTCTGAAATCTAACAGTCCTTTCTACAGTTTTCACATTAGAAATAAGATATATGATGAGTTTTTAATAAAAATAATAACATGCTTAGCTTCCTATAAAAACTACTGTTCATTTATAAATAACGTCAGGAATGTAGGGCAGAAAGAAACTCTGCATATTACTTGATATACCTCTCTCGTTTCAGAGATGATGAAAACGTGTGCCCACTTGGCAAGGTCACATAACTAGAAATGGGCCAAAGTGATTTAAACTCAGGTTTCCCAATTTCCAACAGATTTTCTATTTGGCGACACTAGGCTTCTATCCAATTACCTCTTTTCCATCTTAGTATTTTTGAAAGCTCAGGTCATATAAACAGCATTTTTTCTGCAAAGTCTGCATCAACTCAATAGGCAAAATTATCTGTTCCCACATAGCCCCAAACATTTCTGAGTACAGTACCTATACAGTTAGGATTATTGCTGTCAATGTATGCACTTCCACCAAGACTATAAACTCTTTGAAAGTTGCTCCCTTTTGTATCTTAAGCAACAATTAGTGCCTGGTACATATTAATAATAAGTGGTAAATAAGTATTTGCTGAATCGCTGAATAAAACTGCAAATGCAAAATAGCCATCAAATTTTAAGTAACATCATCATTTAATTAGATGTCAGTATGAATCTGAATGAAAACACTCATTGGATACCTAGGTCCTGAAAGGATTATTTTTAAACAAATATATTTCACAGCAAACACCCTTTTAAATATTGACAATTAAATATAATTTAGATGTTAATGAATTCAATATACTGTCATTCAAAGAAAATTTTTATAGGATGCTTTTTACTTTTACCTTTTAAAGTGAAAATTAAACTATGAAAATACTAAATCATCAGCAATGTAACTGCAGCATGTGTTTTTACTTTGTAAAGTAGCTTCATATGAAAATGTGGACTCTCTTTTCAGAGGTTTCATGTGTTTACATTCAAAGTAAAATAGCATTTCTACAGAATATTCCTCATTGCTGCAGCATACTAAAAATGTAAGGAAAACAGTTTTTCCTTGTATAGATATTTGTAAATTTGTTTTTGCAATAATATACAGTTAGGTAAGTTTTTTTAAATGTAAAAATACCTGCTTTTTCTGAAGTCCTAAGAAACACCATGTCCGATGGAATTCTTTGATTCTGCAAAGAGCATTATAAAAGATTAATTATCTATATGCAGGTTTACAAATTAACACAATTCCATTCCAAATAAGAAATACCTATGAAAACAACTAAGATAATATAATTAAAATTGTGCTGAAATAACTAACACAATTTGTATATAAAAAATTGATATTTTAATTCACATTTTAATTGAAATGCTAAGATTTTTTTCCCCATAAGTGAGCCATATAATGGTATGTAGTAGTGACTTCAAAAATGCTTCATGTCCGGTGGCTCACGCCTGTAATTCCAGCACCTTGGGAGGCCGAGGCAGGCGGATCATGAGGTCATGAGATCGAGACCATTCTGGCTGACATGGTGAAACCTTGTCTCTACTAAAAAAAAAAAAATGCAAAAAATTAGCTGGGCGTGGTGGCAGGCACCTGTAGTCCCAGCTACAGGCTGAGGCAGGAGAATGGCGTGAACCCGGGAGGCAGAGCTTGTAGTGAGTGGAGATTGTGCCACTGCACTCCAGCCTGGGTGACAGAGCGAGACTCCATCTCAAAAAAAAAAAAAAAAAAAGCTGCATGTCAGCCAGCCATGGTGGCTCACCCCTGTAATCCCAGTACTTTGGAAGGCCAACACGGGAGGATCACTTGAGGACAGGAGTTTGAGACCAGACGAGGCAACATGGCAAAGCTCCACCTCTACAAAAAGTTTAAAAAGCAGCCAGTGTGGTGGCATGCCTGTGGTCTCAGCTACTAGGGAGGCTGAGGGCTGAGGATGGCTTGAGCCAGGAGGGTCAAGGCAGCAGTGAGCCATGTTCATGCCACTGCACTTCAGCCTGGCAAGCAGAGGGAGACCCTGTTTCAAAAAAAAAAAAAAAGCTTTATGTCTGAAAAAAACGTTAAATATTGCCATTTCTGTGGCCTCTGTTAGTCTGTACATGTAACACAGCAGGTATTGCCTTATAAAAAATTATGTCCTCCCTATTAGACTAAATGGCCCTGGAAAGTGAGGAGGACTGTGGTCCTGCAATGCCCACAAAACAGAGCACATCATACACAAAACACTTAATAGATGTGAAAGAATAAATCTATGACTGAACAAGCCAACAAGCAAAACCCCACAGATTTGAGGAGATATTCTTTCATGACACAGAAAAACTCAAAGACATTTTATGGCATATAAAAACTCTAACAAGTCACTATTCATACATTTAATTATTATCACTAATAGTTCTATCAACTGGGAAAGCTATATCAGTCTAAAGAAAAAATATATAATTGTATTAAGAATACGTCACATAATGTCATGAATTATGTATGATTTTTGAGACCTAAGTAAAGACTTATCTACCCATGGTAAATAAATGGATAATAAATGGTAAATGGATTGTCAGTCAACAGGTAACATGTTAAAGCTGAAGAAAGCTATGTTATTGGATAGAGCTATTTCTTTCTAACACTAGGGGAAAAAAACTAATATTAGCATGAAACCAATAAAAGATGTGCAAGACCTCTACATAAAAAACTATAAAATATCGTTGAGAGAAATTAAATGTGAGGATTAACTGTACAACCTAATAAAACTAGATTAAACTAGAGTAGTTAAGAAAAGATGAGATTACACCAAGATAGACGATTATACCAATACAAAGCTAGATGTCCAAAAATAGGTCCACATATATAGGGACACTATGAGAAAGATGAAACTGCCAATCAGTGAGGAAATAATTGTGTTTTCAATCAATAGCGCTGAGAAAACCCAGTACCGTCAGGGGATGATGGGAGACGACACCTGACCTCGACTTCAATGTAAACACAAAAATCTATCTAGAATTACAGCTCTAAATGTGAAAGCCAAAACAATAAAATGCCTAAAAGAGAAAAAAAAAGTTCTTTCCCCACTGAATTGTCGTCATTCATCAAACATGACAAGAATATTTTCATGACTTTTTGAGAGGTAAGGATGCTTAATAAAGACCATCAACAAAAATTGTCTTAAAAAACTAACCTTAAATGAAGATTAATAGCAGATTTCATTAAACTTAAGAATTTCTGTTCAACACAGCCTGCCAGGAAAGAAGATATCTGCAACGCATATATAACTAACAAAAGACTCCAAACCAGAGTACATAAAAGCCCACAAACTGATAAGAAAGGAAAGAATAACTCAGAAGAGAAATGCCAAGAGATTTTAGCAGGCTTGTCATATAAAAGACAGACACACACAAAATCATATGAAAAAGTATTGAATCTTATTAGACTTCATAGAAATATGCATTAAAACCACTTCTACTAATTTACACTCCCACCAACAGTGTAAAAGCGTTCCTATTTCTCCACATCCTCTCCAGCATCTGTTGTTTCCTGACTTTTTAATGATTGCCATTCTAACTGGCGTGAGATGGTGTCTCATTGTGGTTTTAATTTGCTTTTCTCTAATGACCAATGATGATGAGCTTTTTTTCATGTTTGTTGGCTGCATAAATGTCTTCTTTTGAGAAGCGTCTGTTCATATCCTTTGCCCACTTTTTGATGGGGTTGTTTTATTTCTTGTAAATTTGTTTAAGTTCTTTGTAGATTCTGGATATTGGCCCTCTGTCAGATGGACAGATTGCAAAAATTTTCTCCCATTCTGTAGGTTGCCTGCTCACTCTGGGTTTAGGGGAGGGATAGCAACAGAAGAAATACCTAATGTAGACGACGGGTTGATGGGTGCAGCAAACCACCATGGCATGTGTATACCTATGTAACAAACTTGCACGTTCTGCACATGTATCCCAGAACTTCATAAAAAAAAAAAAAAACACTTCTACATACATATCAGAAATGCTAATTTTAAAAGGCTGAAAATGCACATGCTGGCAAACATGCCAAGGCACGCTGATTGGAGTAGAATTTGGTACACCACTTTGCAAAACCACGTGCAGGGTCTACCATAGCGGAACTGCATAACCCAAAACACAGCAGCTCCACTCCTAGGCACACCTGCAACAGCAATGTGTGGATGTATGCACCAAGAAATATAGTCAAATATGACACAAAAGTATCCTTCATGATGGGCAAAACTTAGATGTAACCTAAAAACCCATCGACAGGAAAACAGATAAAAACCACACTATATAACACCCAAATGGGTGGGTAACAACCACACAACAACATGGATGTATCTCATAAAGAACATGGGGCCAAAAAAGCACCTGCCCAAACACACTCCCACCTCGGTAAATTTTCTAGGCACTCTTGCCAAAAATCAATTAACCATAAATTTCTGAGTTTATTTCTGGATTCTCAATGTAATGCTAGTTCCTGTAAATGCTGATTACTGTAAATCTGCATTAAGTTTTGAAATAGTGAAATGCGAGTATTCAAAGTTTGTCCATCTTTTTCAAAATTGTTTTGGCCATTCTGGGTCACTTCAATGTCCCTATGAATTTCAGAATCAGCCTGTCAATTTCTGCAAAGACATCAACTGGGATTTTGAGAGGGGTAACACTGAATCTACAGATCAATTTAGGGAACACTGCCTTTTGAATAACATACTTCTAACCATGGGCATGAACTGTCTTACATTTACTTTGGTCTCTTTAATACGTTTCAACAATGATCATGGCTCACTGCAGCCTTGAATTCCCGGGCCCAAGCAATCCTCCTCCCTAAGCCTCCCAAGTAGCTAGGACAGCAGATGTATGCCACTGTGCCTGGCTAATTCTTTAAATTTTGGTCTATGTTGTCCAGGCTCGTCTCAAATTCCTAGTTTTATGTGATCCTCTCGCCTTGGCCTCCCAAAGTGCTGGGATTACAGGTATGAATCATCATGCCCGGCCTTTAAAAGTATTTTTAAAAATGTCATATTCAGACTCTTTATGTCCTTATTCTGTCTTATTTTCTATGGAGTACTCATAAACAAACTAGATAATTTCAAATAATTATGGACACTTTTTGTTTCTTTTTGCTTCCCCTCAAAACTAGGGGCACCACAAGAGCAAGGAGCCCTGTGTTCTCCTAACACCACATGCCACGGTGTGAACGCACAGCTACTTCTCTGACCAGTCACCCACCTGGGATATATGGACTTTCTGGAATTGAGCTACTGTGAATAATGTAGATACAGACATTCCTGCACAGGTTTTTTTGAATCAACATAATTTAACATTTCTCTGTGATAAACGTCCAGGAGTGCAACTGTTGGGTAGTATGATAGTTACAGTTTTTTTTTTTAAGAAACTATCCAGCGATTTTCCAGGATAACTGTATTATTTGTATTTCCACAAGCAATATACAAGTGATCCGCTTCTTCACATTGTTTCCAATATTTGGTATTGTCACCATTTTTTCATTTTAGCTGTTCTGATAGATGCATACTGATATTTCATTGTGTTTTAATTTGCATTTCCTGATGACTAATGATGTTGAATTCCTGCTCATGTGTTTATTTTTATTTTTTTATTTTTTGAGATACAGTCTTGCTCTGTCACCAGGCTGGAGTGCAGTGGCGCAATCTTGGCTCACTGCAACCTCTGCCTCCCGGGTTCTAGCGATTCTCCTGCCTCAGCCTCCCAAGTAGCTAGGACTATAGGTGCACACTACCACACCCAACTAATTTTTATATTTTCAGTAGAGATAGGGATTCACCATGTTGGCGAAGATGGTCTTGATCTCTTGACCTTGTGATCCGTCCCCTTCGACCTCCCAAAGTGCTGGGATTACAGGTGTGAGCCACTGTGCCTGGCCCATGTGTTTATTTTCTATCTGTAAATCTTTGTCAAAATGTCTCTTGAAATCTTTTGCTCATTTTCTAATTTCAAATTTTTTTTTTTTTTACTGTTAAGTTTTAGGAGTTTTTATATATTCTAGACAGAAATCTTTGTTGAATATATGGTTTACAAATATTTTCTCCATCTGTAGCTTTTCATTGTATTCACATGGTTTTCACAAGGCACACATTTTTAATTTTAATGATATGCAATTTATCAATTTTTCCTTTTACACATTGTCCTTTTGGTATCAAGTCTAAGAAATATTTTCCTATTCCTAGATTCTAAATATTTTTTTTTTCTAAAAGTTTTGCAGTTTCACATTTTACATTAAGTCCATGATCTTTTTTTTTAAACCTCAGGATGCCCAGCGCCATTTGAGAAGGCTACCTTTTCTCCACTTAATTGTTTTCACACCTTTGTCTAATTCTGGTTTCTCTATAATGTTTTGTTAACCTTTGTTTCTATCCTTCTTCCACACTATGTTGACTAATGTAACTACGCAATATGCCTTCACATCAAGGGTGATTCCTCTCACTTTATTTTCCTTGTCAAAGTTGGTTTAGCTGTTCTACACCTGTGCCTTTCCGAATTAGTTTTAGAGTAAGATGATCTATGTCTTTAAAAATAAGAAGAAAAAAACCCTGCTGAGACTTTGATAGGAATGGTATTAAGTGTACAAAACAATTTTGGGAAAACTGGAATGCAGAATGCTCCAATCGAAAAGAGATGGGTCTATTTACTTATGTTTTCTTAGATTACTTTTATCAACACATTGTAAGTTTCAGCATAGATTTCATTTTCATAGCAATGACTGTAAGAGTACTGCATTTTTAATTTCTGTGCCCACATTTTCATTATTATATAAAAATGAGGTTCATATTTGTGCATCAATCTTATAACTTGACACGATGTTGAACTCACTAGTTCCAGGAGATTTTCTATAGATCCGTTGGGGTTTTCAACATATATGTATATGTATTTATGTACATGTATACGTAGTTATGTCATCTGCAAATTGAGACATTTTTATTTCTTTTCTAATCCATCTTTTATTTTCTTGCCTTACAGACTAGAAGTGCCATTGAGTAACAGTAACAGCAAACATCCTTGTCGCCAGTCTCAGAGAGGAGGCATTCAGTCTTACACCATTAAGTATTTTATAGATTCTTTTTAAACAAGATATTGTTACTGTCCCTCTAATCCAACCTGCTCAGAGTTTTTATCATGAATGAGTGTTGGGTTAAGTCAAATGGTCTTCCTGCAACAACTGATTGTGTGATTTTTCTTTATTCTGTTGATAGCGTAGATTACACTGCTTGATTTTAGAATGCTGAACCACATTTACACACCTGGAATAACCTGTACTGGGTTGTGATGTATTACTCTTCTTTATATACTGCTGATACCAACTGGGCTGCAGTTTTCTTTTATTGTACTTTTTTCTGGTACTGAGATAAAGATATTCTTGACCTCATAAAATGAGTTGGGTAGTGTACCATTCTCAATTATTTTCTGAAAATAACTGTGCAAAGTTGATGCTAAGTCTTCTGTAATGGTTTTAAGGAATTCTCCTGGACCTAGGTATTTCCTTCCTAGAGCTTTAAATTACTAATTCAGCTTCTTTATTGGCTACAGGACTACTGATATTGTCTATTTCATTTTGACTGAGTTCTTATACTTTATGGTTTCAGAAGAATTTGTCCATTTCTTCTATTTATGAGCATCAAGGTGTTTGTAGTATTTCATAACTGTCTTTTTAATGGCTGCAGGATCTATAGTGAAAGCCCCTATTTCATTACTAATACTGGTGATTTGTGACATCACTTTTTATTTTGATCAGTCTTCCTTGCTAAAGGTCTATCAATTTTATTAACTTATTTAGAAGAACCAGCTTTTGTATTGATTGATTTTCTATCTTGTCTTCCTATTTTCCATTTTACTGACTTCTACTTGTATCTTTATTATTCCCTTCCTTCTGCTTGCCTTGGTTTAACTTTGCTGTCTTCTCCTAATTTCTTGCAGTAGGGGTTTAGATTACTGACCCAAGACCTCTGCTTGTTTCCCCACAGGAGTTTCATGCTACAGAATTCCTCCCAGCAGTGCCCTTACACGCATCCCACTTATTCCAGAATGCAGAATTTTCACTTTTATTCAGCTGTATGTATTGTTTCCTTGAGACTACCTATCCTATAAATTAATTCAAAGTGTGCTGTTCACTTTCCACGTTTTAGAGTTTTCCTGCTGCCTTGGTTACTGATTTTTAACAATTCTATTACAGTGAGAGAACACACTCTGTGTGATTTCAATTCTTTTCAATTTGTTGAGGTTTATGGTACAGAAAATGGCTTATCTTGGTGAATGTTCTATAGACACTTGAAATAAATGTGTTCTCTCCTACTGACAGGTACGGTGGTCTATGCATGCTAGGCAACTCCTGCTGCCTATGCAAATCTTCCACATCACTGCGGAGCGTCTATCCCCTACTTTTATCCAATGCCTGAAGGGTGGTGCTGAAGTAACCACTTGTAACTGGACTTGCCTACTTTTTTCAGCTCTGACACTTGTTGATTCACGAATTTTATGGAACTGTTGTTTGGTGAGTAACAATTTATGATCATTGTATCTTCCTGATGGATTAATCCTATTATTGTTGTATAACATCTCTTTTTGTCTGTGTTAATTTTCTTCACTCTGAAGTACACTTTCTTGGACATTAACATAGCTCCTACTACTTTTGTTTAATTTTACATTGTATCTATTTTTCTATCCTTTTACTTTCATCCTATCTATGTCACTGTATTTGAAGAGACTTTCGTGCACACAACATAGAAATGCGTCTTGGTTTTTTTGTTTTTTATCCATTCTGTCTCGTATTTAGACCATTAGAACGTACGTCTGCATTTTATTATTTGTTTTCAGTTGGTTTCCTCTGATATGTGTTCCTGGGTTTCCAATTTCTTCCTTCTTGTGTGTGACCTGAGCCCTTTTTACTCACACAGTCATGGAAGTAGGCAGATGAGAGCACTTAGGAACGAACTCCCTTAACACAGACACAGGTGTCCTGCGTACTCACGTGGTCAGGGATGAGACAGATGAGAACACTCCGAATGCACTCCCCCGATATGCAGCATGGACCTTCAGTCACTCTGCACACCGCCAGCTCCCCCGACACGCAGCATGGACCTTCAGTCACTCTGCACACCGCCAGCTCCCCCGACATGCAGCTTGCACCTTCAGTCACTGTGCACACCGCCAGCTCCCCCGACATGCAGCCTGCACCTTCAGTCACTCTCCACACCGCCAGCTCCCCCGACATGCAGCCTGCACCTTCGGTCACTCTCCACACCGCCAGCTCCCCCGACATGCAGCCTGCACCTTCAGTCACTCTCCACACCGCCGGCTCCCCCGACATGCAGCGTGCACCTTCAGTCACTCTGCACACCGCCAGCTCCCCCGACATGCAGCTTGCACCTTCAGTCACTGTGCACACCGCCAGCTCCCCCGACATGCAGCCCGCACCTTCAGTCACTCTGCACACCGCCAGCTCCCCCGACATGCAGCCCGCACCTTCAGTCACTCTGCACACCGCCAGCTCCCCCGACATGCAGCCCGCACCTTCAGTCACTCTGCACACCGCCAGCTCCCCCGACATGCAGCCCGCACCTTCAGTCACTCTGCACACTGCCAGCTCCCCCGACATGCAGCCCGCACCTTCAGTCACTCTGCACACCGCCAGCTCCCCCGACATGCAGCTTGCACCTTCAGTCACTCTCCACACCGGCAGCTCCCCTGACATGCAGCTTGCACCTTCAGTCACTCTGCACACCGCCAGCTCCCCCGACATGCAGCCTGCACCTTCAGTCACTCTCCACACCGCCAGCTCCCCCGACATGCAGCCTGCACCTTCAGTCACTCTGCACACCGCCAGCTCCCCCGACATGCAGCCTGCACCTTCAGTCACTCTCCACACCGCCAGCTCCCCCGACATGCAGCCTGCACCTTCAGTCACTCTGCACACCGTCAGCTCCCCCGACATGCAGCCTGCACCTTCAGTCACTCTGCACACCGCCAGCTCCCCCGACATGCAGCCTGCACCTTCAGTCACTCTGCACACCGCCAGCTCCCCCGACATGCAGCCTGCACCTTCAGTCACTCTGCACACCGCCAGCTCCCCCGACATGCAGCCTGCACCTTCAGTCACTCTCCACACCGGCAGCTCCCCTGACATGCAGCTTGCACCTTCAGTCACTCTGCACACCGCCAGCTCCCCCGACATGCAGCCTGCACCTTCAGTCACTCTGCACACCGCCAGCAGCCCCGACATGCAGCCTGCACCTTCAGTCACTCTGCACACCGCCAGCTCCCCCGACATGCAGCTTGCACCTTCAGTCACTCTGCACACCGCCAGCTCCCCCGACATGCAGCCTGCACCTTCAGTCACTCTGCACACCGCCAGCAACCCCGACATGCAGCCTGGACCTTCAGTCACTCTGCACACCGCCAGCTCCCCCGACATGCAGCTTGCACCTTCAGTCACTCTCCACACTGCCAGCTCCCCCGACATGCAGCTTGCACCTTCAGTCACTCTGCACACCGCCAGCTCCGACATGCAGCCTGCACCTTCAGTCACTCTGCACACCGCCGGCTCCCCCGACATGCAGCTTGCACCTTCAGTCACTCTCCACACCGCCAGCTCCGACATGCAGCTTGCACCTTCAGTCACTCTGCACACCGCCAGCTCCCCCGACATGCAGCTTGCACCTTCAGTCACTCTCCACACCGCCAGCAGCCCTGACAATCTCCACGTTGGACCTTTGATGTTTTTCTTATAGCTTCTTCGTACACTGATCTAAACTTCTTCTTTTGTAATGCTTTTACTTCTATTCACTTTTCCCTCTTAAATTTTTTAACTGTATGAATTATATCCAATAATTATGTGTAATATAACTACAGCTGGCCCTCTGTATCCACGGGTTCCATAGATGGGGATTCAACCAAGCATTGAGAGAAAATATTCAGAAAAAAAATAAAAATAAGAATAAAACAAAAATAAAAAAAGACAGTATAACTATTTAGATAGCATTTGCATTGTATTAAGTACTATAAATCAACTAGAGATGATTTAAAGCAGAGGTCCCTAACCCCGGGCCTTTCAAGAATGGCGCTGCACAGCAGGAGGGGAGGGGAGGGCAAGCGAGCATGACCTCCTGAGCTCCGCCTCCTGTCAGATCAGCAGCAGCATTAGATTCTCACAGGAGCAAGAGCCCTATTGTGAACTGCACACGCAAGGGACCTAGGTTGCACACTCCTCATGAGAATCTAATGCCTGATGATCTGAGGTGGAACAGTTTCATCCCAAAACCAAGCCCACTGAACCTTGGTCCATGGAAAAATTGTCTTCCATAAAACTGGTTCCTGGTGCTGAAAAGGTTGGGGACCACTAATTTAAAGCATACAGAGGATTTATTGATGCATAGACTATTCAATTTTATATAAGAAATTTCAGCATCTGTGGATTTTGGTATCCTTGGTGGGGTCCTGGAACTACCCTCTCATGGATATTGAGGGATGATTATCCCTGTAGGAGGAAGTTCTGAAAACTGAAGCACAGTATTATGAACAGGTTTGAATACAATTCTGTGATGATATAAAATAATCTTGATAATGCAACATTAAGCAGTTAACCATCTTATTTCAGAAAAAATATGACTTTGCCTGCACACACTGAAATATACTTTAGCAAAACAATATACAAAAATCTAGATTTTTCTTCACATACAACAAATCTTACACAAGGATATTATGATTCAAAATACATGTCTCAATTTCTTTCAAATTCAGAAGTTACTTATAATCAGGCTAAACATTAATAACTAGCATACATAGGTCTAAAATATATTAAAAAATCATCAACCTTTTCCACTATGATGAGGTCTCCAACTTGTATGTCTGAACTCTTAACTTGCACTTTACCTTAAAAAAAGAAGAAGTACAGTCAACTCAAGGAAACAACAGCACACCCAAGTTCAACTTTCAATTAAAAAATAATTACTTTAGAAATAAGCTACAGAAAAAAAAACTTTAGAAATTTCCCTATACTTGTACTTTCAGACAGTCACTAATAATTAACTTCTCTTAGTAAACTGCCAAACACAAATAATTTTTTATCTCCCAATAAAAACAGAGGGAGAATTTCTTCGTAGTAATTTAAAAGGGGACTACACTCAGAAGATTATTCCCATGTTTTGTAATTGTTTCAGTTCCAAGTCAACAATGATCAGAAATATTACTAAATGATCTCAGCATTAAAACTTAACACAGAGATGTAAAAATCCTTAAGTTAATATCATAAATGGCATTAATTAGCACATAACTGACCAAAAAAGAAATAAAGCAAATTATATGTAAAATCACCCTCTATCAATAGCTTTACCAACACAGGAGAAGAGTGAAAAAGTTATATCTAAAACTTTATTACTAAAAGTGATTTCTCTATGTGAATAAATTCTTATCTACGAAACATCTAATGTAGAATAGTCGTTGACAAAGTTTCATATATACTTAAATATCATGTATAATATGATGTAGAGTAGATGAATGTTGCACCCATAATTTGAGACACACGTAACAAAACAGGCAAATTCATTCCCTCCCTTCCTCCCTTTCTGTCTGTCTCTGCCCCTCTTTCTCTTCCTGGGCCTCTCCCAACCTCTTTCCCTCACTTCCTCACTCTCTCCCTGTCTCACTCTCTTTTAAGACTAGCAATGGCCTTGTGTGTTAATTTTTACATTTTTGTAATTACTGTCCTAACAAGGGAAAATGTTCCTTCCTTTTACATTCAGTTTATGTTGACAGCTATCAAAAACTAACATCACACTCGTTACACTGACTTTTAGACCCATATCCAACTTATTAAAAGATCGTATTTCCCAAATACCTCTTAAAGCAGCTGTATTTCAGTAGTATCACACTGTTCCTAAAGATTTGGATATATCAAAACTTTTATATGCATTATGTTGTAGTTTTTTCTACATGCCTCAATTATACAAGCCAATAAGGGCTGAAGCTATTTTTATTTATATTATAAAATAGCAATGGTCTTTAGAATTACGTGTGAAACAAATCTTAACTGAGCTTTAAAATCATTAATTGTAATAAAATGTCCACTTTAATTCCTATGAGCATTAGGAGCTTCAGGCCTCCTCCCCCACTGCTATGCTTTTCACAGCAAAGCATCCGGCAGTAGAGATGCCCCACTGACCTAAAGTTCCTACTTCATCATCTAATTTCACCCTCTCTCCTAGCTATCCAATTCACCCTTCTTTCCTTCTATTTTTTTCACATTCTCTGTAATCAACACATCTTAAAAGGAGAGAAAAAGAAACACTACAGTCATAACACATAATACAGTAAATAACTTTAAAACATTTTGAATAGAAAACATATCCTTTCTGACTCTGTAATTAAGATCTAACATTTCTGAGAGATTTATTATTCTGTAGCACGGTAAGAGAGTTAACATATTTAATAGCCTTTAATTCTCAGGCATTATATAGTGATCACGATTAATTTCTATGGAAATTACCTTCAATTACATGTTTAACGAAAAAAGTTTATGATCAAATACAGCATAAAAAGTTCTCAAAATGCTATTACACAATGAACAAAGTATTAGAAAGCTAAACAGAGTACAGTAACAAAATAGTATGACCACCTGCCTTATATATCTGCTCAAAGTACACATATCTAAATTTTGAAGAAATGATCATATTGTTATCAAGTCCTAGCTTCTTAAATAACTTATTTGCTGTCCTCTTTGCCAAAGAACATTTAAGGCACTGGACAGAGAACACAGGGGAGGAAAGTTACCCGCTTTCACACACCTGTCCACCAGTGAAGGTCCAGCATGAATTACTTTTTCTGCCACATTCTAACAGCCTACACTTACATTAAATATTTGATTTCTGGCTAACACTTTGTTGACGGAGCTGACAACTGATCCTAGTAATATACTAATATCAGATTTGAGAGAGGCTGGTAAAAACAGAAAAATCTCCCAATTTTAAGAGTCACTGGGCACATATAAAACACACAACTGTCACCTGGCCTCAATAATCTTACAGAGCAATCGACGACACAAAGTGTTTAGGAAATGGACACTCAGAATTTAATAATCTCAGAGTTGCACTTGATAGAGAAGGAAGCTCTAATACAGTAGCAAAGACATTTCAATGTAAATGCTAGTATTTAAATCTAATGACATATTTTTTTCTTAAAACTATCCTATTCAATATACTATCAAGTGCACACTCAGTAAGTCGTGTATTATCAGCTTTTTGTTTTTTAATGAACTAGTTAATAGTGACCAAGTATATTAGTCTGTTCTCACCCTACTAATACAGACAGACCCAAAACTGGGTAATTTATAAAGGAAAGAGGTTTCATTGCCTCACAGGTCAGCATAACTGGGGAGGCCTTGGAAAACTTACAATCAATAATGGTGAAGGGAAAGCAAACACGTCCTTCTTCACATGGTGGCAGCAATGAGAAGTGCCGAGCAAAGGGAGAAAAGCCCCTTATAAAACCATCAGATCTCGTGAGAACTCACCCACTATCACAACAGCATGGGGGTAACCACTCCCATGATTCAATTACTTCCCACTGGGTCCCTCCCATGACACATGGGGATTATGGGAACTACAATTCAAGATGAGATTTGGGTGGGGACACAGCCAAACGGTATCGCCAAGTAAGGTAACAACAGTACTTTCCACTCTCTAAACTATTTCAATTAAATATTTCCACTAAATCTTTCTAGCAATAAATGTTCCCTTCCATTATTTTTCAGAAACATAATAGCACAAGTGGGTTTTTCCTCATAGAGGAAAAGCATTCATCTCACTTGTTCCCATGAACAACAAATTATATGGGCTCCTCTGAGAAAGATCCAAATGTATACCAAATAACTACCTACTCTTTTTTTTGCTGCTGTTTGAGATGGAGTTTCACTCTTGTTGCCCAGGCTGGAGTGCAGTGGTGCGATTTCGACTCACTGCAACCTCCGCCTCCAGGGTTCAAGTGATTCTCCTGCCTCAGCCTCCCAAGTAGCTGGATTACAAGCACCCGCCACCATGCCCGGCTAATTTTTTTTTTTGTATTTTTAGTAGAGACAGGGTTTTGCCATGTGGGCCAGGCTTGTCTTGAACTCCTGACCTCAGATGATCCACCTGCCTTGGCCTCCCAAAGTGCTGGGATTACAGGCATGAGCCACCGTGCCTGGCCATAACCACCTGTTCTTATACCAATGCTTCTTAAACATATAACCTGCCCACCAACCCCACTACCAGTCATTAATTTCTGCCCGTGTAAAGAAAATATAATACTATAATTTCCCTAATTCCAAATGAATGAGTTGAAAAAAACTAAAGAAATTCCCCCCCAAAAAATTCCATTCGATGATAATTATTTAGAAGATAATCATATTTGTATCAAAAAATATAAGTTCCTCAAAATGGACCCTAAGTTAGCTGCCAGGCTTTACCAGCTGGCTCCTCCATCTCTGTCGGCCCCTGCTCTACCTCACCGGGAACCTCGTCCCTCCACTTACTCGCAGAAGCTCCCAGCACTTGCTCCCTTGGATTGAAATCCCTCCCTTCCCAGACTTAATGACACAGCAAGTCTAACCTCTGTGAAGCTTTTAATAACCCACATTAACACCAGTAATATTTTATATATACCTGTAAATAATGTGCTTAAAATGCTATCAATATTTAAATATCTGAGTATCCACTAAATTTCAGATCCTACGATAGGTTTAAAGGGTAACTGAAATATACTTTTATGACATGTAGTTTCTTCTTTCCAAATGCATATCCAAAATTTACCCATAGTAAATTAAACTCATGGAGACAGAGAGTAGAAGGGTGATTACCAGAGGCTGGGAAGGTTAGTGGGAGTTGTGGGGGGAAGCGAGGATGGTTAATAGGTATGAAAAATAGAAAGAATGAATAAGACAATATTTGCTAGAGCAACAAAGTGACTACAGTCAAAAATACTTGTACATTTTAAAACAACTAAAAGAGTGTAAGTGGACTGTTTGTAACACAAAGGATACCTGCTTGAGGGGATGGATACCCCATTTACCCTGATGTGATTATTACCCATTGAATGCCTGCATCAAAATATCTCATGTAGCCCACAAATATATATACCTACTATGTACTCACAAAAATTTAAAAGATAAAAATGAAAACAAAATAAAATACAGCCACTTTGGGGAAAACAAGATGATAATGGAGCTGAAAAATTCTTACTGTCCCAGTGATGTAGTAGCTGACGTGCCACCGCAGCACAAGGAGGGAGTCACGTGTTTGTGGTATAAAACATCCTGCTGCAAAACATCCACAGCACTGCAGCTGTGTCAAAGTCTAGCACACTCGATTATGTACTGAACAGACTTGATAATGATAATAAATGACCACATTACTGGTTTGTGGATTTACTATAAAAAATTAACCCATTTTAAAATCAAAGGAACTTACAACCTAAGTAAAATGTCCTAAGTAGTTAAAATGAGTCAATGTCATAACGGATTAAGGCACATAGCAAAGTAAGACCTACTAAACACAAATACTAGCAACTAAGGATAAAAATGTATTTATATCCAAACACACACACACAAGGTATGAGTGATAGATAATTAAGTAACTTTTTAAATTATTTTCTGTCACCCAGTCTGGAGTATAGTGGCACAATCATGGCTCACTGTGGCCTCGATCTCCCTGGCTCGGGTGATCCCCCCACCTCAGCCTCTGGAGTAGATGGGACTACAAGTACGCACCACCACACTCGGCTAATTTTTGTATTTTTTGTAGAGATGAGATTTCACCGTGTTCCCAGACTGGTCTCAAACTCCTGAGCTCAAGCAATCCACCCACATCAGTCTATGAATACGGCAGGAGCCACCACACCCGGCCAATACTGGTTTTTTTTTTTTTTTTAATGTAAGAACAACAATAATGAACAGAAGGTTCTAATACTTCTAGTAATTAATCATTACATCTTAATATCCATCCATTAAAGTGAAATAAAGTATAACTTACTTTTCTATAAACAAATTTAGTTGAGATGATAGTTTACCACCTCACAAGTAAACTAAATGAATATGCTGATCAAAGTAAACAAAACTTAGATCTCTAAGATCTTCAACTGCAAAAGCAGGTAGACTCATTGCCAAATTACTCACATCCATGTATCTCTGTAGAGTTTGAGGCATATCGTTTAAGTAAGTAAATGGGATGTGCCAAAGCCCTAAGCAGGTACACAATAAACATTTCGTGATGAAGTGGCTGAGTGAACAAACTAGGATTCCTCTCCATTCTGCTTGCAAAGGTGTGTGAAATGTAAGTCAAAAACACTGAGGTCCAGGCTGGAGCTTTCTCATGTAAAACTGTGTCACTTGAGCATATTAGTTTCTTTGCAGGCCACAACATCCACATATTTCATATAAACGTTCCTAAAAATAATTCCAATAAACTGAGTTGAACAAAATTACTGCTATCTTCTAGCTAATTCTAAAATTTCTTACCTAATAAACATAAATACTGGTAAAAATTCTAGTTGAACAAAAAGTTACAATTTATCTTATGATGTAGATGGCATTACTACTCTAGGCTGTAAAACACTCCACAGAAGCGAATTCAAATGGATGAATTCCTAAAATGTATTAAAGCACTGAGAACATACTTCAAGAAAGAAGTACAGCAAACCTCCACAAAATCTGAAGACAGTACTTAACCCATTTCCTCAACACCTACTACATTCCAGTTCCTACTGCAGGCACCTGTGCTACATTAGTGACAATGGCACACCTTTAAAGGGTGTATGGCATGCTGGAATGTAGCAGGTGCTATGGAAAAATGAGGGCAGAGCACACGGCCCAGGATGCTGGTGGAGAGCAAAGGTGGGCATCTGTGACTGTTGCAGGGTTAGGAGAGGACGCCTAGAAAAGGAGGCATTGGAGCCAGGAGTCAGGAAACAGTGCGGAGGCCACGAACAGGCATCTAAGAGCATGCAGAGGCTGAAGGAAGGGCCAGGGCAGAGTTCCTGAAGGAGAACATGCCTGCATGCTGAGAAAAACTGAGTGTCCAGAAAGGAAGGCAGTGACGGGGGATATCCAAAAGGAACAGAGAATGCCCATGTTTACAAAGTGCCCTTCGAGCCAGACTGGAGAAGCCCATGACCCACAGAGCACGTCTGGCCTCACGCTGGGGAATAACCAACCCCATGGAGCATGCCCCAGATCTGTCCAATGATGCAACAAAGCAAGGCCTATCCAAGTAGCTGAACAGCATCCCAAACAATACTCAACAATATTTGCAGGAATATAAAAATATCCACCACCCAAAAAGATAAAATTCACAATGTCTGACATCCAATAAAAAATTAATAGGCATGCAAAGAAGCAAGAAGATATGACCCATACGAGGAGAAAAACCATTCAATCAAAACTGACCCACAACTGACACAAATGTTATAATTAGCAGACACGGACATGAAAACAGCTATGAAAACTGTATTCCCAGACCAGAAAGTGAGAGACATGAAGGATACAAAAAAGACCCAAATCAAACTTCCAGACACAAAAACAATGCTTGAGATAAAAAATACAACAAATGAAATTAAAGTATGATATGGTTTGGCTGTGTCTCCACCCAACTCTCATCTTGAATTGTAGTTCCTATACTCCCCACATGTTGTGGGAGGGACCCGGTGGGAGGTAAATGAATCATGGGGCGGTTACCCTCATGCTGTTACCCTTGTGATAGTGAGTGCGTTCTAATGGTTTTGTAAGTGGCTTTTCCCCTTTTTGCACTTCTCCTTGCTGCCACCATGTGAAGAAGGACGTGTTTGCTTCTCCTTCCTCCATGGTTGTAAGTTTCCTGAGGCCTTCCCCAGCCATGCTGAACTGTGAGTCAATTAAACCTCTTTCCTTATAAATTACTCGGTCTTGGGTATGTCTTTATTAGCAGCGTGAGAACAGACTAACACACAATAGAATAGACCTTGTGGAAGGAAAGAACAGTAAATCTGAAGACACAGCAATAGAACTGTGCAAAATAAAACAGAAAAAAGAATTTAAAAGAAAAATTTAAAAACATCAATGAATGTGTCACTACCTCAAACAGTCTAATACAGGTATAACTGGAAACCTTGACACTGGAGAGGGAAGAAAAAATATTTGAAGAAATAAAGGCTAAACACTTTCCATATTTAATGCAACTTATATCCCACAGATTCAAAAAGTTAAATGAATCCCTAGCATAAAAAAATAAAGAAAATTACACCTAGGCACATCATAATCAAATCGCTCAAAACCAGTAACAAAATATTGAAAGCTGAGATAAAAGACAACTAACCCTCAAAAAACAACAAAACACTGCTGAGAAAAAAATTTTAAAGGGGAAGATGTATCTCACACATGGGTCAAAAGATTAAATATTATTAAAATGTCAGTTCTCTGCCAAATGGATTTACAGATTCAATGAAATCCCATTCAAAACTGCAGAAGGCTTTTTTGTAGAAATTGGTAAGCCAAATAATACACTAGTATTAGTTGTATTAATTAGTTGTATTAATAATTAGTTGTATTAATACACTAGTATTAGTTGTTAGATGTAGGCCCTTTGTATTTCCTTAACAAAAACAGCTCTGAAAATGAAGAACAAAGGTGGAAGGCTTGATTTCAAAAATTATAAAGCAACAGTAACCAAAAGAGCATGATGTTTACAGACAGACAAACAGATCAATGGAGCAGAAAGAGGGTCCAGAGATAAACTTACATGAAGAGTTTAAAGGCAATGCAGTAGAGAAAGGATCACTTTTTCAAAAAACAGTACTGACAACGACTGAATGGCCATATGCAAAAAAACACCCATACTCTGCACAGTAGACAAAAATAGACTCAAAATGGATATTCGTAAGTATAATTCCTAAAACTAAAAAAACTTCTAGAAGAAAACAGGAGAAACAGAGCAGAAAGAAACATTTGTAAAACCTGGGTTAGGAAAAGAGTTCTTAGAACAACAAAAGCACAATCATAAATAAAACTGACCAACTGGACTTCTTCAAATAGAAGATCGAAGGGGCTAGGAATGGTAGAAAGGATGCAAAGTCAATAAACTGGAGGTTGAAAACGAACTGAAGTCCAGGCACTAAAGAGAATGAGCCGGAAAGAGGGGCCTAACTGCAGGTGGAGTGGCACTAAGGCTACAGGAGCCAAAACTAGAGCTACCAAAGAGTCTGTTTAGGATGTGGGCCCTCAGAAAAGAGCCACAGTTTAATGAGAGCAAGAAGGCACATTCAGAGAAGAATCCATAGATAGAAAAGCTTCAGGTTATGAAGGGAAAAACAGAACATGAATTCTGGAAGCACAGTGAAACAAGACCAAGGGTAAGAATAAAGATACACAGTATCCCATGGTAATTAAAATGCAGAATCTGAAGGATGACTTGGAGTCTGGGGCTTTTCATGTTAAGTAATATAAAACATAAAATTCATCTTGAGATTAGCTCTGGTGCACATAAGGCCCATACTGTACTCAGGCTGAGAGGCACAGGTTCAGTGGAGCCAGCTCATGTTCTGAGTCCTTGGACAACAAACCTGGTTAAGTCTCAAAGGTCTGGGGAAGAACTCTGCTAACTTTAAACATGGTTTCAAAACAACTGCTGAGCATTTGTGGGGGAAAAAAGAAAAGAAAGATCCCTTCTCCACATAGTATACATCTTAAGTGTAAAATTACAAATGCAGTAAACCTTAACTACAAAAAATGAAAATCCAGAAACACTGTATGAAAACACAATGCTCACTTATATGGGGAATGAGTAGACTTTCCAAGATTAAAGTAAAAATCACAAAAGATCAGGATATTTAAATTATATAAAAATTATACATTACATCCAAGAAAAATGATTTTTTAAAAATAAGTCAAGGTAAAAACATTTGCTACATGTGACAAAGGCAAATTCCTTTTAGTAGAAAAATTGTAATAAGGTAAAAATAGATAAAGAAACAAAAGGTATTAAGTAATTTATAAAAGATCACAAATGAACAATGAAACTTTTTTAACTGGAATGAGTGGGCAAGGAAGGACATTTGTTGGCACAATGGAAACGCAAACTGGTGCCATCTCACAGGGCAGCCCCCTGGCCTTAGACCAGGCTCAGCACTTTCATCTGGATCTGGAACTTCTTTCTTTCTTGACTCCCGCAGTTCACTGAGTGCTCACCACATGCCATGCCAATGACTCTACTTACTCTGGGGGAAACCAGGACCCCAAGCTCACGAAACTGAGAGTCCAGGAATTAAAGTAGTCCTCAGAGTAACGCCACTCCCCACAGGGAGGTACAGGTGCCATGGGATGTATGTGTGGGCTGGGGTGGGGAATAACACTGGAAGAAATCGAGGCAGAACTCTCTAAGATAATCTTTTAATAAAACCTGAAGTTTTGAGTAGGAAGTGGCCAAACAGTACAGGACAGAACAAGAACCACCAGACAGAGTGGCTATTACTTTAAAAGCCAGTCTCTAAGAGGGAAAAGGAGAGGCCTATCCAAAGAACTAAAGGAAAAACCAGTACAACCACACTTCGGAAATCACAGAAGGAGCTGGAGCAGGTGGCCAGAGCCAGGCCACAGGGAGCTGGAGAGTCACATGCGACTCAAGGGTTCTAAGCCATAAAATGGCATCAGATGCACTTTTGGAAAATACTTTTTACTTTGAAAGGAGAGTGCTACCGCAAAGGAAAGATGGAGCAGTATCAGCAGTGAGGAGTCCATTTCCCACTTCGGACAGAAGAGACAGCTGGAGTCAGAGCTGGAGCCAGGCCAGGAGCTGCAGGGCCGCCAGTAAAGTCCCATCAGCCAGGCCCAGCTAAGGGCTGTTCAAAGGCTGCGGGGGGCAGACCTCAGTCCGCTTTAGTGACTAAGAAGTATCTCCCTGGTTAGAAGCACTGGTGAGACCTAGAGGTAGCACACACATCTCAAGTGAAAAGGAAGGATGGAAAGACTTGTAGTTGATATATCATGAAGAAATGAATTCACACAGATCCTCTAAGGGTGACCTGAGAAGAAACAGTGGTAATGAGTTTATGTATCTACTTGAGTGTGTGTGTATGTATGTTTATAACCACTCCTGGATCTATATGGCCACACCTGAGTGTATCTACCCACTTGAGAGTGAGTGTGTGTGTGTGTGTGTGTGTGTGTGTTTATAACCACTCCTGAGTCTATATGGCCACATCTGAGTATATCTACCTTGGTCCAGCCACAGAGAACTAATAATAAAAAATGGAAGGTGTTCATGAAATATCATTACATAGCAGAAATACAGGTTGGTGCAAAAGTAACTGTGGTTTTTGCCATTACTTCCAATGACAAAATTACTTGGTGCAACTATTTTTGCACCAATCTAATACCAGGATGTATACTGAATGTTCCTGAATGAAATACTGGGATGGATCCTTTTCAAATGCTGCTCAGGTGTCAGACCACGGAAACAAAAATGATTTAAGTACACTTCAAGAAAGGCTGGGCATGGTGGCTCACACCTGTAATCCCAGCACTCTGAGAGGCTGAGGCGGGTGCATTATTTGAGGCCAGGAGTTTGAGACCAACCTGGCCAACATGGTGAAACCCTGCCTCTACTAAAAACAAAACAAAACAAAAACAAGCAGTCATAAACAAGAAGAAAGTAAAGTAACAGCAACATACATAGAAAATTCCTACACCCAAAAAAGTTATCAGAAAATAAAACACAAGATAACTCAAAATAATTTCAGTGTGATTGTGATAATATACTGGTTAAAATATTTTCTGCTTCCAAACAAAGCGTATTTATAAGTGGCTTTCCTTTTCAAAAGAAAAAAGTAACAGAGAACATTCTTCCAGTTTACTTCTATAAGAATGTGCTTGAGAACTCCAAAATGACACAGTCCAAATGTTGTAAATATGGTCCAGCAAACTACAGAAAGGCACACAAGGAGGCTGCCATCAATGCCATTCAAAGAGGTAACTGTGAAATACTGGAAACTGAGGAGGAGGTCAACAGAAAATATTCTTAATAAAAAAGTAAATTTTAAACTGTGCTCAATAATAAGCCTAAACTGATGCATTTTTTAATACTACGGATTTTACTCATCAAACATCTGTATCAGAACCACCAGCCATGAAGCAGTGTGCCACAGCTGAAAGAACACTGGATTAGAGTCAGAATGATCTAGGTTCAAGCACCAGCTCTACCTAAAACTACTGTGGCTCAGGGCAAACTATTCACAAACCGCAGCTTTCTCATCTAGAACTCGGAGAGCACATCAACTCCCGCTTGGACGATGCTGGATATGAGAACTCGTACTCTGAATGTTATCTGACACACACAAGGAAGTAAAAAAGTAGCTATCATTATCATTATTGACATGTGAAACTTCTACTTCTTAGATGACCAGCAATGATGGCTAATTTTTCTTAAATGGTAAATTTTCATGTACATTTGAAATAAACATACTGAAAATTATTTTTAAAGTACCTGAAGTTCAAGTATCACAGAAGTACAAAAGACGTAACAGCAGAAGGTCTTCCTCAACATTTTATGCCATTTTTGGGTGAAACGTACGTAACATAAAAAGCCATTTTAAAGTGAACCATTCAGTGGCATTGACTGTATTCACAATGCAGTGCGACCAACTCTATCAAGTCCCAAAACACTTTCATCACCAAAAAAGGAAACCCAATGCCTGTTAGGCAGATGCTTCGTGCTCCCTTCTTCCGCTCATCTATGGCCACCTCCAGTCTGCAGTTTATCTCTACTAATTTACCAATTGTGGATATCTCCTATAGATGAAGTCACACAATATGGGACCTTTTTCATCTGGCTTCTTCCACATAGCATAATGTTTTGAGGTTCATCCAGGTTGTAGCATGTAGCAACCCTTCATGATTTCTATGCCTGAATAAAATTCCATCATAGAAATTTGCTATCCATTCGTTTATCCACTCATCTTTTAGTGAACATCTGGGCTATTATCACCCTTTGGCTATTGTGAATAGTGAATAAACACTAAATAAACACTGGGTCCCTGCTTTAAATTCTTTTTAACTATTTGAGAAACTGACAGTGTGTTTTCCACAGCTGCTGAACCACTTTGTTCCCACAAGCAATGTGCAAAGATTCTAATTTCTCCAGATCCTCTCCAGCACTCGATATTCTATATTTTAAAATTACAGCCAACCTAGTGGTGTATGGTGATGTCTCATAGAGATTTGCACTTCCCTCTGGTCTAAGGCTGTTGACTGACTGTCGTTTCACATGTATGTTGGCCATCTGTATATTTTCTTCGGAGAATTAGAATTGCCTGTCCAGGTCCTTTGCCTATTTTCTAATTGGGTTATCTTTCTAATGTTGAAATTGTAAGAGTTCTTTATGTATCCTGGATACTGGATCCTTATCAGATATACAATTTTCTCTCATTCTTTCTTTTTACATTTTTGATAATGCCCTTAGATGCACGAAAGCGTATTAGCTTTTGTTTATCTGTGAATGTCTTAACAACTTTTTTTTTTTGAGACGGAGTCTTGCTCTTTCGCCCAGGCTGGAGTGCAGTGGCACGATCTCAGCTCATTGCAACCTCTGCCTCCCAGGTTCAAGCGATTCTCCTGCCTCAGCCTCCTGACTAACTGGGATTACAGGTGCATGCCACCATGCCCAGCTCATTTTTGTATTTTTAGTAGAGACAGGGTTTCACCACATTGGCCAGGCTCATCTTGAATGCCTAACCTCAAGTTATCCACCTGCCTCGGCCTCCCAAAGTGCTGAGATTACAGGCATGGGCCACCAGGCCCAGAAAACTTCTTCATTTCTGAATGACAGTTTTACCAGATATAGAATTCTTAACTGACAGGTTTTTTTTCTCTCTCTCTCACCATTTTAAAAATGTCACCCCACTGCCTTCAGACCTCCATGGCTTCTGATAAATCCTACGGAGGGTTCCTTGTGTGTGACCAGTTACTTCTCTCTCTCTCTCTGCTTTCAGGGTGTCCTCTTGGTCTGTGGGTGTCAGCTGCTTGGTTATGTATCTCATTATGGATTTTTCTCGTATTATCCTTCATGTGCTTTGCTGTACTTCCTGAATGTACAGATTAATGTCTTTTATCAAATTTAGAAAGTTTTTGGCCATTATTCCTTCACATATTTTCTCTGTCCTCTCTCTCTCTCCTCGACTTCTTGCATCTCCATCATGTGTATTTGGTACGCTTGATGCTGTCCCACAGGTCTCTTAAGAGCGGTTTTGTTTTTTTTTTCCCATTCTTTCTGCTCCTCAAACTGGATAAATACAACTGACCTAGGCTTAAGTTCACTGTTTCTTTGGTGTGCTCAATTCTGCTACTGAATCCCTCCAGTGAGTGTTCTTTTCACTTACTATACTTTTCAGTGCCAGAATTTGTTTGCTTCCTTTAGATAATTCTCTACTTGCTTCTACATCATTCTGATATCTTTTAAGCAACATCCCCATGGTTTCCTTGAGCGCCCTGGCACATTTAAGACAGCTGATTTAAACTTTTTGTCTCCTAAGTCTGATGTCTGGCTTTCCTCAGGGGCAGTTACTATTACCTTCTTCTGGGAGTGGGCCACATTTTGTTTTGTTGCATGCTTTGTAATGTTTTTTGTAGAAAACTGGACATACGCCGGGTGCAGTGGCTCACACCTGTAATCCCAGCACTTTGGGAGGCCAAGGCAAGTGGATCACCTGAGGTCAGGAGTTTGAGACCAGCCTGGCCAACATGGCGAAACCCCATCTCTACAAAATACAAAAAATAGCCGGGCATGGTGGCGCATGCCTGTAATTCCAGCTACTCAGGAGGCTGAGGCAAAAGAATCACTTGAAGCCGGGGGACGGAGGTTGCAGTGAGCTGAGATCGCACCATTGCACTCCAGCCTGGGCAACAGAGCAAAACTCTGTCTCAAAAAAAAAAAGAAAAAAAGAAAACTGGACATACATTATAATCTGGTAATTCTGGAAATTAGCTATTTCTCCCTCTTCTTGGTTGATTTTATTGTTACATGCTGTAGCTGTGTTTGTCTACTGATTTTTCTACACTATTTTTGTAAAGTGTGTATTCTTTATCATGGATGGTCTCTAAAGTCTCTCTTCCATTCTTATATTCAGCCAGTGTTCTGACAAAGATTTCCTTCAAAATGAAGAGAGAAAAAGGAGGGGCAGGGGGGAGGAGGAAACAAACCCAAACAAAACCTGTCCTGGGCTTTGGAGCCTGGCTCTGTGCGGCAGCCTCACTGAAGATTTAGCCAGGCCATTAACAACTGTGCTGCATCCTTCCCTTCCTTCTTGCACTGAGCCTAGAGACTGGCCAGAGGGAAAGACTTTGGATCTGAGCATTCCTCCAGTTCTTGGCTTGCATGTCGCTTCCAAAATTCCCCAGCATACACAGGGGAATTTTTGAATGCTCAAATTTCCCAAAGAAACTCCCTCCCTAGCTTCTTCTGCCTGGCATTTGACACTCTACTATCTGGCTTGACTGTCATCTTTTGCCCTCTGCTACTACAGGCTATTCATTAGCCTTGCATATGTTTGAGAAATGGCGCTACATTTCTACTTTTCTGCCCTGAGTTCAAGTTAGGTGAAAAAAGACAAGCACCTAGGGTCAACCCTCCAAGCAGTCCCCCGACTGGTTAGAGGCAGAAACAATTATTTGGAATAAGCTGCAAACTGGGAACATGGGCCATTATCTTCAAGATTAGTGCCCTGTTACAGTGTTGGGAGAAGGTGCTGAGATCAGGACAATTGTGGGGAAAAAGCTTTCCAACTGTTTCTAGGTTGACTTTCTCTGGATGCAGCAATTTCCTGGGTGCTGTAAACCTTTGACTTTTCTAGAGGTCTGAAGTAGTTAGTTCTAACAGTTTCTGCTTGATTTTCAATGTTTCTGTGGAAGGGCAGGCATATGGAGCCGCCAACTCTGCCATTTCACTGCCATCACCACTCTAGTTATTTCTGAATAATACAATTAATACACCAGAAAAACATCTCTGCCTAGCCCCTCCATTACAACAATTTTAAAAATCAGATAGATCTATATTATATTCTTACAAAGACAATGCAAAGTTATACACAATTTACCGGGCCATTTGGGGGTTTTTTTCTCCAATACTAAGGCTTACCTTCTTCATCCTTCCTCCACCACACCACCATTCGAGCATCAAAGATTTTTAATAATTTTTCAACTCCATGGAGAAAAAACATTGTTTTCAACAAGTCATACTAGGACAACCTGATATTCATACAAAAGAATATGGACCCACACCTTACCCCATACACAAAATGAATCAAACAACCCAGTTAAAAAGTTGGCAAAAGGGATGGGCGTGGCTCACGCCTGTAATCCCAGCACTTTGGGAAGCCAAGGCGGGTGGATCACGAGGTCAGGAGTTCAAGACCAGCCTGGCCAACATAGTGAAACCCCGTATCGACTAAAAATACAAAAAATCACCCGGGCGCAGTGCAGGCACCTGTAATCCCAGTTTCTCGGGAGGTTGAGGCAGGAGAATCGCCCGAACCCGGGAGGAGGAGGTAGCAGTGAGCAGAGGTTGCGCCACTGCACTCCAGCCTGGGCGACAGAACAAGACTCCGTCTCAAAAAAAAAAAAAAAAAAAAAAAAAGTCGGCAAAGGATCTGAGCAGACATTTATCCAGAAAAGATATACAAACAGCTAATAAGCAAATGAAAAGATGCTCAACATCATTAATCATTAGGAAAATACAAACCAAAACCACAATGAGATACTACTTCACACCCACTATAATCAAAAAGCAGTGGCTGCAATCAAACAGGCAGAGAGTTATGTACAGGTGAGGATGTGGGAAAACTGGAACCCTCATCCATTGCTGGTGGGGATGTAAAATGGTGTGGCCAATTAGGAAAGCAGGTTGGCAATTCTTTAAAATGCTAATCATAGAGTTACCAAATAATCCAGCAATCTCACTCCTAGGTATGTATCCAAGATAAATGAAAACAATATTCACACAAAAGCTTGTACACAAATGTCCATAGCTGCATTATTCACAACGGTCACAAAGTAGAAACAACCCCAAATGTCCACCCACTAATGAATGGATACACAAAATGTGCTCTATCATACACTGGAACATTACTGAGCAGCAAAAGGAAATGAAGTACTGATGAATGCTACTACCAGATGAACCTTGAAAACATGTCCAGTGAAAGCAGCTGGTGACCAAGGACCACACATTGCATAATTCCATTGATATGAAATGTGCAGAGTGGGCAAAACCACAGAGACAGAAAGGAGAACGGCGGCTGCCTGGAGCTGGGGTAGGGTGGGGAGGGAAACAGCAAGAACGACCACTGCCTTCTCATGTATTCAGGGCTCCT
Organism: Homo sapiens; assembly: GCF_000001405.40. Lineage (NCBI taxonomy): Eukaryota > Metazoa > Chordata > Mammalia > Primates > Hominidae > Homo > Homo sapiens. Next base: position 79,127,319 of record NC_000018.10, on the reverse strand, counting down.
TCTGAGAATGTCAAAAGTATGCTAAACTTAAATGACAGTGTTGGTGATGGCTGCACAACTTTATGAATACACCAAAAACACTGAATTGTATACTTTACATGGATAAATTTTATGTTATGTGAAATAGAGCCCAATAAGGTGTTAAAAATAAGTCATTTTTGAAGGTACTATTTCAAGTTAAATAATTCATTGTAAATGTCCTCTTATATACATACAAAAGATAAAAATCCACTGCAAACTTTTTAAACAGACTTTGGGGTTACTATGAATACCCATTCAGTTTTTCAGTGTCTCCCTCATTCCCAAGGTTTTCAGTCACTTTTTTACTATCTTATGCCTACTTGTCATCGTTTCCCCCACTCTCTTCTTAATACATTGCTTCCTTTTGTACTATGGACTGAAAAATCAAATAAACAAGCGCTTGAAGGATGTAAGTTAAGCAAGAGTTAAGGCCCTGAATGAAGGTTAAGGAGAAGTGTGCTTGCATCAGTTATCATCTTGGATCACGATATTTATTTCTGTTGTTCAAAGGCCTCTGTACTTAAGAATAGGTTAATGCCATGGTATAGACATTTGACCTTTATGAGTGTGTTTAAAATACCAAGATAGATTTTAGATGAAGTGACATTATGCCTCTCAGAAAATACGTATATACCAATAGAACACATTACATGATTATTAGTAATACATGTACATGCTTGTGTGGTTGTGTGTGCATTTGTATATATGTGTACACAACATACATCCAAACAGCTAGAGAATGAACAAATATCTACCCTAAAATTGCATTATACATTATAAGGAAATTAATTAGATATCATATACAATCACATAATACTATTTTCAATAATAGAATTAAAATGTTTTCATACATTTGTTATGTTAACTCTAAAATGATAATTACAGTAAGCAAACGCTAAGCAGGATTAAAGCATCTTGCTGACCTCTTACTGTAAGCTTGCTATATAGTTGTGAATTCACTTCCTTGTCACGCTGAAAACGCCGAAATTCATCAATTGCTTCCCGTGTCATAGTAACAGCCAAGACAAATCCCTATAAAACAAAATAAGGTATTTTTAGAAAACTAAACTTTAACAAAAAAGACAAAATTATTTGTTACTTGGTTTAACTTTTTTCCTTCAATTTATATTACTCTCTAAAACATAAAATAAATGAAAACCAAAAAAGTCAAAAAGTAACAATGAAATATTACAAAAGGATTCATTGTAAAAGGTATGCAACTCTTAGTATACTCCCCAAATTTTTAATTCACCTCCTAATAGATACTTCAAGCTAAGTGTCAGAAAATACCTAGTAACCCAAAGAAAAAGAAATTAACAATCTTCAATAAATCCACAAATTATATTTAGAATACTTGGGCATTCAAATACAAAATTTACAATGACTGACATAAAAATCTTACACTTAATTTCTGCACTTAAATTTTTCTTACAGAATAAAAGTATTTAGGAACACAAAACAATTCCCAGATAATCACACATCGATTTTCTTACATAGTGCATTATTATATAACTGCAGTAGAATGAACAATTATAGTGCTTTCATCTCACTTTTTAAGTAAAAATCTGCCTGTATTAATATGATGCTAGCTAGAAAAAAATTTTTATATTCTCATAATTTATTGTGAAGCCCATTATACCACTAATATGAAGCTAATGCCCATCATTTTTAAAGGCTGCATATATATTTTCTGACATGTTACAGGAATATTCTTCAAGTCAATCTCTATTATTAATGATGACCTTGCTTCAGTCAAAACTGTAAATAACAGAACACTGGATGTATGTCCACTGAAAGCACAATAATCTTTTTTATTTCAGTTTTTTGTTTTCTGTATAACCAATAGGCCAAATTAAGTGTGCTGCTGAAGAATGTTTCTTGTATTTACTGAAATGGTATTTTTCTCAAGTGTCCTATTTGAAAACCCCTTCAACAGTCATGACTTAAACATGGATTCTTCTAGTCTCTTTCCCATTCAAAATCAACCTGACAGCCTGTGTCTCTCACTCCTTTTCAGCCCCTCTGCCATCTCTCTTCAGCCATACTGTGTGCTCTCCCCCTAATCATGAGCCTCCCTCGGCCCTACAACCATCTCTCCCTGAGCACATCAAGTCTTCTCCTCCCTTAGTCTGCACTCTGCACCATCGGAAACCTTTTCATATCCAGTATACTTCTCCACTTGCCACAATTTCCTTCCACCACTTGACTAAAACTATTCTCAAGTAAGGCAGACCATCTCACGAAACTTCCCATTCCTCTGTGCATTCCAATTGTTCACCAGGCCCTCTTTCCAATTCCCCATCCCTTGGCTTCCTGGACACCACATTCTCCTGGCTGTCTTTCTGAAGCCATGCACCCCTCTTTATCCAGTCACCCCAAAGCTGGCCTCAGCCCACTGATGGCCTAATTCTCTACCCATCCCACTGCCATCATCTATAAGCAATACTATGGCTCCTTCCTCCAACTGCTAACTGTGCTTCCTTCCACACATCTCTCCAGCCTGACTGTACTCGGTGTGGCACCCCAGCCGGACGCAGGCTCTCCCCAGCTCTCCCAATGAAATACAGTGCTCTCCCCAAACCCCTAACCTTACGAATAGACAGATCTCTAGCCTTGTCCCCCACTCAATATTGCTGTATCCTTCAACACCAGGGAACTATGAGTAGTCTCCTGAAACACCATGATGTCTTTCTGATCTTTGCCAGTGTATTCCCAGGGGTTGTTGGAAGCACTGTTTTGAGAAGTATCCTAAAGCCACTCTTGGACTCAAGGAAAAAGAAGCCATGAACAATTTGTGATGTGCCCCATCTGCAAAGAAGGCAGGCATGGCACGGCATGTGCCATGTATTTGCCATGGTTTCCACTGAAGACACCAGCTGATGAGCAGAGTAAGACCTCACTTAGGTCCTTTAGCACACACTGTATTCTTTTTTTAGATAATAGCTTTGTTGATATATAATTCACATGCCATAAAATTAACACTATAAATGTATACAATTCGTTTTTTAGTACCTTCACAGAGTTGTACAACCGTCACCATCATCTAATTTTAGAAGATTTCCATCATCCCAAAATGAAGCACCATACCCATTCCCTCCCACTCCTAGGCCCTGGCAATGACTCATCCACTTTCTGTCTCTATGAGTTTGCCTATTCTGGGTGACATGGTAATTGTGTGTGTAGTATTTTGAGGAACTGCCAAACTGCTCCTCAAAGTGGCTGCACCACTTTACATTCCTGCCAGCAACTAATGAGGGTTCCAATGTCTCCACATCCTCACCAACACTTGTTACTGTCTGCCCTTTGTATTGCAGCCATCCTACTGGGTGTGAAGTAGTATCTCTGGTTTTAACTGGCATTCCTCTACTGACTAATGACGTTGAGCAACTTTTCACATGCTTATTGGCCATTTGTATATCTTCTTTGGGTAAATGTCTACTCAGATCCTTTACCTACCTTTTTCCTAGGTTTAGTTGTTGAGTTATAAAAGTTACTATTTTGGTGCCCGAGTTGAAAATCAATGTGTTATAAATTTAAAGGTTTATTTCTGGACTCTCAATTACACTGATCTATGCACCTATCTTTATGTCAGTACCATACTGTCTTGATCATGCAGTTTGTAATAAGTTTGGGAATGGGAAAGTGTGAGTTCTCCAACTTTGATCTACTTTTTTCTATGACGTATTAGCCACTCTGAGCCCTTTGCATTTTCATATGGATTTTAGGATCAATCTGTCAATTTCTGCAAAAACATTTAAAAACATAAAGAAAAAAAAAAAGCCAGCTAGGATACTGTTAGGAGTTGGATTAAATTTGTGTGTCAGTTTGGAGAGTGCTGCCATCTTAACAATATTAAGTCTTTCAACTCATGAACATGACTTTCCACTTATTTAGACCTTTCTTTTTTTTCAAAATTCTTTTATAGCTTTCATTATGTAATTTCATGCTTTAAGCTTATTCCTATAATTTTCTTTTTGATGAGATTATAAATGGAATTGTTATCCTAATTCCATTTTGGGATGGTCACTGCTAGAAATACAAGTGACTTTTGTATGTTCATCTTGTATCCTGCAACCCTGCTAATTCATTTTGTTTAGTTACAATGTTTTTGTGTGTAGATTCCCTAGGTTTTCCTATAAACAAGATCATGCCATCTGTGACTAGAGATAGACAGTCCTCTTTCTTTCCATCTAGATGCCTTTTACTTCATTTTCTTAACTAACTGCCCTATACAATGTTGAACAGAACTGGTGGGAGCAAACACCCTTGTTCCTAAGTTTAAGGGGAACACATTCAGTCTTTTATGATTAAGAGTGATGTCAGCTGTGTGAAGTACAAAATTTTAAGAACAGAAGAAATTTTTATATTATGATAAACGTCTCCATAATAGAGTGAAGAATATACAATAGGGAATGATGGCCAGTTTCTTCAAAGCTGGTAACAAGTTATGACAAAGCAGCAATGAAATAAAAGTGGTTATCAAAAAGCCTGTTAGAGACAAAGAAGAACTTGAATATAAATTCATCATTTTATTGAACTAGAGTTAGCAACAGAAAAACAAAGAAAATGAATATGAAAAGCCAAAGCAGCAGATATCCCCAAAAAAGTTCTAAGAAAGTTGGTGCTGTCAAAAGCCTTAAAATTTGCACATATTTAAACAAGCAGTTTCACTTCTAGAAACTTATCTTAAAGGAAAAATTATAGGATCACAGCATGAATATGAAAAATTAGAAATAACCTGAATGTCCACAAGTAAGAAATTCATAGCACAGTCATATGATGAAATGCTATATTTCCTTGATTCAAAGATGTCACTGGTTTTAAGATACGTCAGTATTATTTTAGTAGTAGTCTTGGGTGGGAAGACAATAGCATTGTAAATATACACATTTTATAAGCCACAGCTTAATTTTAGTAACATGAAAAATATGCATCTTTGAATCCAAGAAATATACTTGTCTGCAGCTATTCCCACGTAAGAGAAGACTTACTGCTACAGACTCATGTTCATGATGCAGAGGTAACTTCTTAAAAAAAGTTCTGTTTGTGACTCACTGAGATAAGAGAATGAAAGTGATTACCAAGCACATTTTATTTATATAGTATAGACAATATTTTAAAGGAGTGTTTTTTAATCAGGTAAGCATATCATAATCACCTGAAAAGATTTTTTGTAACATAAATTTGCTCAGACCCTACCTGAAATGTGTACTTTTACCTCTAATTTCCAGGGAAGAGACCTCAGACACATATGTTAAACTCTCCAGGTGACTCTAATTTTCACCCCTTTAAACTTATGGCTTAAAGACAGCAAAAGTTAACCAAATTCATTGAGTAATCATAAGCCACAAAAATGTGCTAGTTCCTAAGAACTCAAGGAAGTCAGTGAAATTAAGCTCCCACTTCAAATGAAGTAGTATTAGAGAAGACAGAATAAAGAGGGTTAGGTCCTAAGTCCTGAAAACAGGAGTTAAACACTCTTAAGAGGAAACAAGATCCTGGTCACAGGCAAGGACTATTAGACTGTCCAAGCTGTTTTACAACACACTTCCAAATCTGTTTCTCTGAATAAGTAACACATGTGTACGATTCTCAACACCCAAAAGATGTCACCACCATCACGTCCATCCCCTGCGTATCTATCCAAGGAAATGCCCAATGGCCAGCCTAGGAACATAAAAGACACTAAAGGAAAGGGAAGTTGAGGCCACTATTTCCTTCTACCACTGGAGTCTACAACAAATGAGCCTCTACCCGTAAGAGTTTAGATCTGAGTTCTTAAATGGATCATTACAGATTGGTGGTTTATGGAGGACTGGAGTAAGCAAGTCTTACTGTAGGAGCACTTGGATCTTCCCATTACCTCGGTACCAACAAGGTCAGAGATTTATGCTATAACACTGCTCCCTAGAAAAATCAAAACTGGAAGCAAGAAGGGCCATTTAAACTACTGTCATCCTGGAAACAGCAGTATTTGGGCACAAGTGTGTTACACAGACTGGACAACATGGACTTCTTCTCACGTGGCTTGTCCACAGCCTTTCTCCTATTTCTCCAGATAACCCAAGAACAATGCGGAGCTAGTCCAAAACAATATACATTTTTGTAAAAGGAGAAAAAGTTAGATGGGTACATTATTGATGTGCCTTTGAGGGCTTATCATGTGCCACACACTTTTCCAAGTATCCTAAATGAGTTACCCCTTTTAAATATCACAAAAATCCTACAAAGTATGTATCTTTACCTCTAATTTACAGATAAGGGAATTGAGACACAAAGTGAGTAAGTAACCTTACCAAGGCCACACAGATCACTAACAATGGTTGTCTCTGGATGATTCCAAGCAATTTCATTCGTTTTTCCTTTTCTTACTTTGCCCACACCTCTAATGCAGAGACACGCACACGAGAAAAGAGTGGATGAAGGGAAGATTTTTAAATAAGACTGAAAAATCAAAGTCCTCATAGATTGATTTCTCACCTACATAGCCTATCCGGTTACCAATTATTTATTAACAAAGTAGCAGAAGACATTTTATATAGAAGATACAGTGTTAAAAACTGTTAGAGCCAGAGCTTTCTTTATCTAAAGATCTTCTGCATAGACAGATCTATTCCATCTCGTTCATTTTGATAGAAGCATGACATTCTGTTTTGTTACTCTGATTACACAAGCTTTGCTTTAAAGAATTGTTCTGAAAGCTGAGTATGAAAAGTAATCTTCATCCAGACACAAAAATGTAATGAAATCAACTTATTTTCAATTTACACTTCTATTATATGGGAAGTATAACAGAAATTAGTTCAGACCTAAAGCTAATAAATAATATTACCAAAAGCAACTGAAAAAGAAATATTATTAATTAAGCTATCATTGTTTTCAAAAACATCTCAATTTTAATTAGAGAACAGAGGGAGTAAGTTTGAAGTAACTTGTTTTATTTAAAATTAGCGAACAACAGAAATAGGATTTTACAACCGACAACTGTAAAATGGTTTTATGCCTCAGAGGCAGGATTTTGGCTAGAAGAAATCTGGAAATGTTAACTGATATCTTTTTCTTGAGAACATTATAGAACCTTAGAGAACAAAAGATGGCAAAAAGAAGTCAATGTATGTATAAAGATGATGGTGTTGCTGGCACTGGATATAATGGGGTTAATATAAACTGGTATAGAAAATGCAAGAACTCAAGGGCTTATGAGGAATTCTTGTTGAAGAACATTTTCTTCAGTTAAAAAAGAGACACCTATACATATTTTCAAATTTGCATTATTTTAAATAGTTTCCTTTAAAGAGATTTCTTTAGATTTAGTGTATGTTTAATTATTCCTTAACTTTGTCTAATTATTCAAATTGTCTTGATTTTCAGCGTTTTTAAAAGCTTTTTAAAAGAATCAATATGCTCTCCTAAGCTTGCTTCTCAGATTTGAAGGTAAGCCTAAGGTGTACATCAACTTTTTAAGAGGTTTGCTCAATCAAAGGTTAAGATGCATATAAACAGAGAAAGCATACTATTCATCATTTGTTATCTGAAAGGTAGCATCAATTGTGGCTGCTGCCAAACCAAGGAACGAAAGAAAATCATTTAAAAAGTAAATCAATTCTCAGATCGAACAATATGATACTCAGGACACAAGAGAACTCATCTAGGTGCATCAGAAGGCAACGTCAAGCATTATTCAAATGGAAAAAGTGGCTTTTCACTTCTCTAAAATCTTAAAACGCAAATATAGTGGAATAACAGTATCTTTTATATGAATATTGAAGTAGTTGCTTATTGAGGTAATTATCTAAAAATAATTAAAGCTAATACATGTCAAAAAATGATAAAGTACTTCAAAATAACAGAGGATGAAAATTCAAGCTAAAGGACTAAAAATTGCAGCTGGAACTGGAAATGAACAATCATATGAAAAGAAAAAACAGAGAAACGTTTTCTCGTCTTGGTAAACAGACGTGTGTGTGCTTGTGTGCACACTTCACTCAAGTATGGCCAAGATCATCAATTTTGTGAACAAATCAAATAAAGTTCTTCAGAAAGAACCATCAAAAGGACATTTTCTTTGGTTGAAACCTAGTTAAATCAGAGTAAGTACAAAAGGCTGAAGCAAAATATATATAAATACATTTGCTTTACTTTATTAAGAAGAATTTGTGTTCTCAGACCATCATTGTTTAAGTTAAAACAGTTTTAACCCACAAGGCAATTTTTTTTTTTTTTTTTTTAAGACACGGTCTCGCTCTGTTACCCAGGCTTCAGTGCAGTGGCGCAATCATGGCTCACAACAATTTCTGTGTCCCAGGCTCAAGCAATCCTCCAACCTCAGCTTCCTGAGTAGCTGGGACTAAAGATATGTACCACCACACACAATTAATCTTTCTATTTTTTGGTAGAGATGGAATTTCACCATCTTACCCAGGTTGGTCTTGAACTCCTGAACTCAAGATATCCTGCCGCCTTGGCCTCCCAAAGTGCTGAGATTACTGGTACGAGCACCCAGCCGGGAAACGATACTTAAGCAGTAAATACAACTGTGAAAGCTATGAATAGAAAAAAAGGGGCTAGAAATAAATACATTAAAATCATAAATATAATTGGCCGGGCACGGTGGCTCACACCTGTAATCCCAGCACTTTGGGAGGCTGAGGCGGACGGATCACGAGGTCAGGAGATCGAGACCATCCTGGCCAACATGGTAAAACCCCATCTCTACTAAAAATACAAAAAATTAGCAGGGCATGGTGGCAGGTATCTGTAGTCCCAGCTACTTGGAAGGCTGAGGCAGGAGAATGGCATGAACCCGGGAGGCGGAGCTTGCAGTGAGCCGAGATCGCGCCACTGCACTCCAGCCTGGGCGACAGACCAAGACTCTGTCTCAAAAAAAAAAAAAAAAAAAAAAAAAAAACAAAAACGTTCAATATGATTGTGTTTTAAAATGAGCAAGTATTTTTCTCTGTGTTCTAAAGTTTCTATAATGCTATACTGCTTTTATTAGAAAATGAAAAAAATCAACAGCAGTTTTTAAATGAGACTTCTAGGAAGTACACAGCCTGTAGAATGTTTTGCACAAATGCATAAGCAATCGTTAACAATCACATTGTTCATTATAACAATGCTTATGAACAATCATATTGTTTAACAATATTTATAATGGTAAAAAATGAGAAACGACCCCAAAGTCTCCTTTCCCAAAGGAAGGGATGAATCAGTTGTGGTATATTTATACAATGAAACACTTTAGTGAAGTGAAAAATGAAGTAGATATATGTGTTGATATGGATCAATTTTATAAACAAATGTTAAGCCAAAAAAGTATGTTGCAATAGGCCACACAGATTAAGATAACCTTTATAAAAAATGTTAAAGCATACAAAATAATATTGCATATTGTTTTAATGATAAATATAAACACAGTAAAACTATTAAGAGATACATAGGAATTATAATCTCACATTCAGAATAGGTTACTGCTAATGTGGTGGAAGGTGGAGAAAAGAAAGGAGAAACAGTTATCTATACTCTCTTCCACGGTTACCTAGCTTCAACAACAACTTTCAAAATTCTGTTGTATACACTTCAGTGTTTCTTCTGTGTGTGAATACATGCAATATATACACAAACATACGGCTTCCTTTTTCACCCAGGATGAAATCTGAGAGCCCTGGAAGAGTTGACGCCAGGCCCTCTGACCTCCTTTCCAACTACTTCTTCCCACCCACACCCTCCTGGATGACCTCCTCCCACCCTGGAGCATGCTAAAACAGTCCAAGACCTTCTGCAATTACTCCTCTGCCTGCAACACTCTTCCCTGTTTCATATCTGACTGTTTTACCAGTAAGATGTCATTCCAATGTCACCTCACAGGAGAGGCCTTCCTTGACCATCCCATATAGAATAACCCTTTCATCCTCTACTCATTTTTCCTGCTTTATATTTTCTTCTTCATAGCCTGATGGATGGCTACGTGGCATTAGGAGTTTATATACTGCCTTTTCTCCCAGAATTTTAGTTCTATTAGAACAGGATTTGGTTTGTCTTGTTCACTGTTGTATCAACATTACCTAGACTATGGCTGGACATGAAGGAGCTCAATATTGATTGATCAAAAGAACTGTGGATTTCCTTCTATACATATTTTGAGCCACCTTTTAAAATTTATTCTAATACATACATAACTTTTATGTTATTAAACACTTTTCCTAAACACCATTTTTAAAGCTACACAGTATTCCAACAAGTACACAGGATATGGCAGTTTGAATAATCTATTGTTAGACATTCGACTTTTTAAAATATTTATAATGGACATTCTTTAGACTTTGTGATCAATCATTATTTCTTTTTTTTTTTTTTTTAATTTTTTTTTTTTTTTTATTATACTCTAAGTTTTAGGGTACATGTGCACATTGTGCAGGTTAGTTACATATGTATACATGTGCCATGCTGGTGCGCTGCACCCACTAACGTGTCATCTAGCATTAGGTATATCTCCCAATGCTATCCCTCCCCCCTCCCCCGACCCCACCACAGTCCCCAGAGTGTGATATTCCCCTTCCTGTGTCCATGTGATCTCATTGTTCAATTCCCACCTATGAGTGAGAATATGCGGTGTTTGGTTTTTTGTTCTTGCGATAGTTTACTGAGAATGATGGTTTCCAATTTCATCCATGTCCCTACAAAGGACATGAACTCATCATTTTTTATGGCTGCATAGTATTCCATGGTGTATATGTGCCACATTTTCTTAATCCAGTCTATCATTGTTGGACATTTGGGTTGGTTCCAAGTCTTTGCTATTGTGAATAGTGCCGCAATAAACATACGTGTGCATGTGTCTTTATAGCAGCATGATTTATAGTCCTTTGGGTATATACCCAGTAATGGGATGGCTGGGTCAAATGGTATTTCTAGTTCTAGATCCCTGAGGAATCGCCACACTGACTTCCACAATGGTTGAACTAGTTTACAGTCCCACCAACAGTGGAAAAGTGTTCCTATTTCTCCACATCCTCTCCAGCACCTGTTGTTTCCTGACTTTTTAATGATTGCCATTCTAACTGGTGTGAGATGATATCTCATAGTGGTTTTGATTTGCATTTCTCTGATGGCCAGTGATGATGAGCATTTCTTCATGTGTTTTTTGGCTGCATAAATGTCTTCTTTTGAGAAGTGTCTGTTCATGTCCTTCGCCCACTTTTTGATGGGGTTGTTTGTTTTTTTCTTGTAAATTTGTTTGAGTTCATTGTAGATTCTGGATATTAGCCCTTTGTCAGATGAGTAGGTTGCGAAAATTTTCTCCCATGTTGTAGGTTGCCTGTTCACTCTGATGGTAGTTTCTTTTGCTGTGCAGAAGCTCTTGAGTTTAATTAGATCCCATTTGTCAATTTTGGCTTTTGTTGCCATTGCTTTTGGTGTTTTGGACATGAAGTCCTTGCCCATGCCTATGTCCTGAATGGTATTGCCTAGGTTTTCTTCTAGGGTTTTTATGGTTTTAGGTCTAACGTTTAAATCTTTAATCCATCTTGAATTGATTTTTGTATAAGGTGTAAGGAAGGGATCCAGTTTCAGCTTTCTACATATGGCTAGCCAGTTTTCCCAGCACCATTTATTAAATAGGGAATCCTTTCCCCATTGCTTGTTTTTCTCAGGTTTGTCAAAGATCAGATAGTTGTAGATATGCGGCATTATTTCTGAGGGCTCTCTTCTGTTCCATTGATCTATATCTCTGTTTTGGTACCAGTACCATGCTGTTTTGGTTACTGTAGCCTTGTAGTATAGTTTGAAGTCAGGTAGTGTGATGCCTCCAGCTTTGTTCTTTTGGCTTAGGATTGATTTGGCGATGCAGACTCTTTTTTGGTTCCATATGAACTGTAAAGTAGTTTTTTCCAATTCTGTGAAGAAAGTCATTGGTAGCTTGATGGGGATGGCATTGAATCTGTAAATTACCTTGGGCAGTATGGCCATTTTCACGATATTGATTCTTCCTACCCATGAGCATGGAATGTTCTTCCATTTGTTTGTGTCCTCTTTTATTTCCTTGAGCAGTGGTTTGTAGTTCTCCTTGAAGAGGTCCTTCACATCCCTTGTAAGTTGGATTCCTAGGTATTTTATTCTCTTTGAAGCAATTGTGAATGGGAGTTCATTCATGATTTGGCTCTCTGTTTGTCTGTTGTTGGTGTATAAGAATGCTTGTGATTTTTGTACATTGATTTTGTATCCTGAGACTTTGCTGAAGTTGCTTATCAGCTTAAGGAGATTTTGGGCTGAGACGATGGGGTTTTCTAGATAAACAATCATGTCATCTGCAAACAGGGACAATTTGCAATCAGGCAGGAGAAGGAAATAAAGGGTATTCAATTAGGAAAAGAGGAAGTCAATCATTATTTCTTTAGGATAAATTCCTCAAGTAAAAATGCTGAATCTGGTTTTCAGGTCTTTGATATATATTACCAATGACCCTCCAAAAAGGCAACACAGGCATGCATGCACACTATGCACACTAATGGGGGAGCTCACGGCATCTATATTAATGGGATGAGCGCCACAGTGTTACAGTTTTACCCATGCTCAGCTCCAATGTCTCTTTCAATCTTACTAATTTAATAAGTTAAAAATGTATTCATTTATCTAGTAATTTCGTGTTTATATTACATATAAAGTTACTCATTCCTCAAATCCACCCTACTATGAAGTCTATGTGAAAGAGAAATCAAAAAATTTCCCTCAGCATGGCTTTACTAACAGGTAAACAGGAAAGCCTGACTGTGCCTCTCCAGGAAACAAGAATTTAGTCCACCTTCCAGTTCTCCTGCTTCATCTGGAGTTCTCTGGTTAGGGAGACGGAGCCTACCCAGGCCAGGACAGACCCCTCGGGAGCAGACTGCTCGGCTCGCCATGTGGAAGGCCACAACTCATGTGGAACCCCGAGGACTGCACTCTTCTTTCACTGAAGGAACCCTTTCACTCTCTGTGTTTCCTACCTAGATTCCTCGGGTCATCTGCCCAAAAGGGAGCAAATCAAAAAAAAGGAAGTAGTGGCCAGGCGCAGTGGCTCACGCCTGTAATCCCAGCACTTTGGGAGGCTGAGGCAGGTGGATCATTTGAGGTGAGGAGTTCGAGACCAGCCTAGCCAACATGGTGAAACGCCGTCTCTACTAAAACCACAAAATTAGCCAGGTGTGCCTGTAATCCTAGCTACTCAGGAGGCTGAGGTAGGAGAACTGCTTGCACCCGGGAGGCGGAGGTTGCAGTGGGCCGAGATTGTGCCACTACACTCCAGTGACAGGGTGAGACTCTATCTCCAAAAATAAAAAATAAAAATAAAGGAAGTAGTAAGTACATTTTTCTATGAAAGGAGGAAAGACGATGTACATCTTGTCTCTACAAGCTAAAAATTAATGAAAACTCTCAGCCAACAGCTTAAGACTATCAAGACAGCATATATTTGAAATGGAAACATTCATTGATAAGCATCATTGCATCACTGGCCTTTTGAAAAACTTTATACACTGAGATATCAACCAGAAATCATACGTACTGCACTTGGATACTTCAGAATGCTCACCATGGTCAGGGTGTGAAGAGAGTAACAGAACAGACCCACAGCCCCAGCCCCCATTCCCAACAGCTGCATCAAACAGGAGGGAGCTGCTGATGACCTGCAACCTTAACACAGGTGCAGAATGACCAAGGAAAACCCCTCTGCTGCCAGCTCAGGCACTTTGTAACTTTGGCAGCTCTACAGGCAGGTGCTGCCACCATACTTCCCATGGTTCTCAGAGGGACTGAAATCACTCAGCAAAATCTTTTAACAGAAGTTCAGTGAACACTACAACACCATGTTTTAAAAATCTGGTCAATTTAACTTTTAACCATCTCAACTCTTAAAACTATATTCTAAATATTTCATAATTTAACTTAATTTTTAAAGTCTTTTCTTACCAGAGGAGCCCAGTAGGTGTAGAGATAGCCTATTTTCAATGCTGGTACAAACTGTGAGCAGGATATTACTAGAAAATAGAGATTCAAGAAAAACTTGAATTGTTCATACAAAACCTAAAAAGGAAAAGAGAAAATTAACAAAATTCCTTCAAGGAAAAAATTTTAATACCTAAATTAAACAATTAAAATCTGCACAACATATAACCACATTTCCATCAAACAGTGAGAATATGTTGTGATTCAAAGTAAATGTATTAATTTTCACATTGGCTTTCTAATAGCTGTATCACAAAGAAAGGTAAGGTTACTCCCAAAATATATTTTAAATAAACTGAAAATAAGACAATTAGGACGTTCAATTGTTAAAAATGTCATCTAAAAGTTTTTTTATTTTTCTTATATGAAATTTTCCAGTTTTCCATACTCATTTAGTAAGTCTTTACATGAACATGAAAAAAAGTTAGATAGCAAAACCTTCCCAATGTTAGCAAGCCAGTAAATATACAGGTGTATCTTGATAATGACTCAGAAAATCTTACAATGGAAAAGTCATATTAACCTTATATTTATGAAATGGTAAAAAACAAATAAATAGCCACTTTTTTTTTTTAACACGGACATCCAGGTAGCTTTACAAAGACTGAATGAACAAGCCAAACGTGAACAGGTGTAACTTCACGAGATAGACTGCCTTAATCTCTTGTGGGTATTTACTTCCCTCAAAACATTAAAAATGATAAAATATAAGAAGTTGTAATTGCAGACCAGTTTTCAAGAAGACAGCTACCCAGCTACTCTTATGGTCTTTGGGTAGTTAATTCTTAATAATATTTTCAAATATAAAAGAAATTTCATCATTCAATAAAATTTTAGGAATGTCAATACTGAAAGGTTTTGGTTTTGGTTTTCACTTTAAATAGTTATCTTTAGAGAAGAAAACCCAAGATCTAACATATTAATAGATCTCAATTTACAAACGCCTCTAATTATTAGATTTACATTGAAAATCAAAATGGAACAAAACTTACGTTTACAGATGAGAATAATTCAAACAGCACACTACAATTAAATCAAACTTGCAAACCTGCAACTTACAAATCACAATCTCTTTGGATGCCATTTCCATGCCACTTAGAAGGTATGAAAATTTCACCAAGCAGGGCAATGGGTTAAGTGCTTATTGCTCAACTAGAGAGTCTGCAACTTGTTTTCAGAAAATGAGGTTATCTGCATCATCATACGGCAATGTGTGGGACTCAAAATCAGTTACACTGACAATATATTTATGTTCATAATCACGTTCAACCTGCTGTCTAAGAATGTTTTGAATTATTTCATAAATTAATCTCAGCAGGAAATAAAGTGCTTTTTCCTTAGTGATTTCTTTAAAATCTCAGCATAAATTATATCTATTAGCAACTTAGAAATTGCCATTCGTGGTAAAAATGACATAGAACTCCTACTGGGTAATTACCAAATGTTTCTAAAATACTACATTTTAGATGAAAAGACTAATTTCAGAGACGATCTAAGATAAAAAACTCATACACATGGTAATCATCATACAGTCACATCCACAGGTATTTTCAGCATGCGGCCAATCTGGGCAGGCTGTGTGGACTTACACTGATCAAAGTTAAGCTGCACTGCTGGCTTTAAACGACTGCAATCAATACTCTACAGTCTACTGACTGAACCTGCTGACCTTTAGGAAAACGTACACTGCTTAGCCAATCTCTGAGATCTGTGAGTATTTAATAATTTAAACCTAAGCAGAAAACAGTGGCTTCATTCAATAAAGATGCGAATATTTATCTGCCTGTAAGACAGTTTACATTTTATTATCCTGACAAAAGGTCTGTCTTTTAATTATGAAGCCATTAGTTTTGTGGGTTTTAATAAAGAAGTGCATTAGATATCAAGTATTTGCCAATCACTAGGTGGATGGGGATGAGGTGGGGGTGGGAGTAAAATCAATGCCAAATACAATGTCAGCATGATTATTTAAATTAAATATACAAGATAAAGCAACCCACATTCCATGTAATCAAGAGCTTTTCTTGCAAATAAAAGACATAAAACATGCCAAAAACTTTGATATAGAAATATAATCAATACCAGCTTCCTTTTCCTTTAGAAAGATAAATAAATCTATTAAAATAAGGAATGACATACAAAACACAAAAATTATTCAACTATTCTAATTGTATATGAACTGTTTTATAATTTAAGCCAGTAATATCACTAGCAACAAAAGTAATAAAATATTTAAACTACAGTATTTAAATTTAGCAATAATACCCAATTAAAGATAACTAACGATATAACAATATAAGAAGGTCTGAGATTTATAATGTGAAGTAGCAAAGACATCTATATATAAATATGCATATTACAGATACTTTGTTACTGTATCATTTCAGTATAAAAAATTGTTTCATTTTCTTTGCGAAATCTCTTGGCAGGGTTTAAACATTACATTTACTGTTTTCTCCAAACTAGTTCCCAGACAAACAAAACGTATAACTTGTTTTCTGTTAATTTTATTTACTTTTACTTCATTATGTCTATATTTCTAAAATAATATAAATATGATGTTTATCAAGAACTGAAGGCAATAATCAAATTGTACATTTTCTTGAGCTGAACTCTATGATGTAGCCATTAAAAATACATATGAATTATTTAGCGATTATTGGGAACACAGATGGTTCAAAAGCAAAAGGACACTGATTTGGATGTGACACAACTCAATACCTAAGTCAGAGTCTCAACAGGCTCCATCCTATAGCAAAGGAAGCCAGCAATCTCTGACACACAACCCATCTCCAAGAATGCAATAGTCTTACCCCAGGTATAAAGGTAAACACATTGTATTTTTGATTTTTTATAGAATTCCTGGGATGTTTTTCTTCACACTTTTCAGGACATCCAAGCCATACTGTGCGAGCTTTCAGCTCTTTCTTTCTTCGACAAATATTTATCAGCCAACCACAGCAACTGTATGAAACAAAAGATACGTATTGTGTATTTTTTTTTGCTTTTTAAAAAAGTTCAAACTAATTGTACATATTTAGAGTCAATATTGATTGTTTCTGTATTCACCACACACTAATAGCACACCTAATGCTAATTTGTGGGGTTTTTCTTATAATAGGTTGGTTACACAAATTTAAATTTGACATAAAATACAAAGTCTTATATAAATGTACCCCAGGGGAATTATCTTTCTGTTTAGACACTCTTATTGGCAAAATAAAACCATTAATATTCTGAAGCAGTCAATGCTCTATATGTCGAGAAAAGGTATAGCTATAGCTATAGGTTACCTACTGGTAATTCCCAATACACTTTTCAATGATAAAGGTCCTTGGATTTCAATTAATCCAGGATGTGGCTCATTCTCTGAAGTAATAATCACTTTTTCCACTCTTAAAAAATGACTTTTCCAGTAGTATTAACTAATGCAATATTAAGACTTACAGCTCAGGCCAGGCGTGGTGGCTCACATCGGTAATCCCAGCACTTTGGGAGGCCGAGGCAGGCGGATCACCTGAGGTTAGGAGTTCAAGACCAGCCTGGCCAATGTGGTAAAACCCCGTCTCTACTAAAAATACAAAAATTAGCCAGCCATGGTGGCAGGCACCTGTAATCCCAGCTACTCAGGAGGCTGAGGCAGGAGAATAGCTTGAACCCGGGAGGCAGAGATTGCAGTGAGCCAAGACAATGCCACTGCACTTCAGCCTGGGCGAAAGAGTGAGTCTCCATCTTAAAAAAAAAAAAAAAAAAAGACAGCTCAATCCAATATTTAAAGAGGATACAAATGTTTCCTGTGATATTCTAATGATAATAAAAGCTTGACTGTATTTCCACATAGCTCTCTTCATCTATGCAGTAAATATTTTAATTTTACATTTACCCTGTTCCAATAGTGTCTGGGTTTCAGGAGCACAACTCTTCCCCTTCTTGGTCATCCAAACCATTATTTTGGGGTAGACAGTATAGAGTTTCTAAAAATACCTCAGAAAATGATGAAAAGGTATCAAATTCATCTCTTTTAAGCACAAAATAATCATGAATTTAAACTTCAGTATTAAAATTTTGGTTTAATTTAAATTTTCAAAATGTAGAGAAAGACTCAGAATGGCTTACTAAAGGAAGTTGTTAAATCTCACCTTCTAATTGTATTCAAGGCTAGAATAGAAAGCCTGCCGTATAAGTCAAATATTCTTCATGTTTGTGACAAAGGAAGCTTAAAAGTTAACAAAAAGTTTTGCATGAAAATGACAGCATAAGGCTGATTACAAAATGAGGCTGACACATCAGAGCTCCATCTCAGAATTGCTGTCTCCCATGCTGGAGTGCCACACCCTTACTATATAATCGTAATGCTCTCCTGCTTTAGAAATCACTTTACAAATACTGAAAACTTGCAGGTTTCAGTATTTGAATTTATGAATTTGAATATATGAAGTAAACTTCATAAATCTCCCATAGTAGCATTCCTTATGAGGGCATGTGTGTGTGTCTCAACTGAAGTTGGTACTATCCCTATGAATATCCACTTAATTCTCAGCTGTGCTGGGAAGATCCTCACACTGAAAGGTCAGAGGTTGGTTCTGTGGAGGCTGCCCATCCCTAACAGGGACTGTTCCAGCACGTGAAGGACTGCCAAGCACTGCTCCCTTAAGCAGTGCTCGCTCACGGGGCTGATGCTCTGCCACGGGGATAGCCAAGCAAGCCAGCTCCCCCCACCCTTATTCTAGAACTTCTACCGCAGCACACAAAGACTGAGCTTTGCAAGAGTGGAACATCTTAGCACTGCCATCAGCACTTTTGAAACAATAAACCCAAACACCTCCAAACTGAAAGCATACTTTCAAGTCCACAACAGTTATAAATCAGGGTGGTATTAAAGTGATTTAAGATTGTCAAAACAAGTATGTTCACCATTAATATTTTTGGTAGGGTAGGAAAGGAAATGGTCAAGTAGATTTCAATAAAATGCTGATAATATTTTATCTGTTTATGCTTGAATGAAAGAAAAATTAAATAAGGCTTCAAATAAAATAGAGTAAGCTTTCAATGACTATTTCTCTCACCTTACCTCTTGCTTGTACTGTCCATCTCGAACACTCTCACATGCCTCCTTCCCTCCAGCATCCCTGCTGTGGTGCCATGCAGACTGCGACTGCTCTGTGCTCTCTTCTACTCTGAGTCGCCTTCCCCCATGGCAGGGGCTCATGGGCACTCCTTCCCCAACTCCTCCCACCAACAGCAGCTATAAATCATCACTCTTTTATCTGGTGACAGCACACACTCCTAGTGCCAGGAAAATCCTAGTTATGTTACCTAAGAATTACCATCTCAGACAACTGCAACTACACTATACTGATGCCGAACTCCCACATCACATAGACAAGAAAACTGGAGGTCCCACAGGCAAGTGACTTCTCTAAGACTAAACCACTAGGCAATGGCAGAGTTGAAACGAGAGCCTGGATCTCAACCTCCCGCCACATCAGTATCATGTCCATTCACTGAGCTGACAACAGGCAGAGGCCAGCTCTTGCTCAAGTTCATGCACCGCCTTTCCTCAGCCCAGGCATGGCACCACAGCCATTCAAGAGATGATGGGAAAAAAATGAATCACTTGTGAGCAGGCAACAAAACACAATGGAAAAACATGGATTTTAAAGTCATGTTTTGGAGACAATCACCAGCAAGTGACCCTATGGAAGCTCCTTGGTCTGAGTCTCTGTTCACTCATCTGCAAAGCACTGACAAGAGTGGAGTCTACACACTACGAAGGCTCAGCACAATGCCGCCCACGGAGGAAGCCCCCGAGGCCTCGGTCTTCACTCTCCTGCCTCCCAACATCCCACTCAAAAGGTCACCCTCCTCCCAACAGTAGCTTGGGCACAAAGAGTACCCAGGCCTGGACCGTCCAAATGAGCATCCATCGGCCCCATGTGGCAACTTTCATTTCAATTAATTAAAATTAAATAAAACTTACCATCCAGTTCCTCAGTCACATCAGCCACATCTCAAGAGCTCAGTGGGCACCCTGGCTAGTGGCTACCATAATGGACATCCCAGATGGAGAATATTCCATTACTACAGTGAGTTCTACTGGACAGCAGTGGCATCAACAGAGCACATTGCAAGCTGGGCCACAGGTGCAAGACAGGCTTCATATGAGCACATTTCTCTTCAGCATTTCAAATAGAGCAAAATTCTTCAGGAACGGACTCAGATATGAATTTTTGCTCTAAGACACATAATTATCTACTCTGATGTTCTAGTATACAAAAGTCAGACAAATTCAAAATGAAAAATCAAATATTAAGATCTAAGTATTTGAAAAGATACATATAAAATTTAGAAAATATAAGCTTTATAGCATTATCTGATATTAACATGTTCTTCCAGACAAACGACACTATAAACGCAAGACCACTGTCTGCATAACATGAGCACTGTAAACAGCAGCACAACAGAAACCTTAACGTCACCATCACTGTCAGCAACTACATGAACTAATGCCTCACTGACATCACTCTCACTCGAGAAACTCTAAATTCAATGCCCACTGCTAAAAACATAAATATTCAACATTTTACTCAGTTTTTTCCTCTATAACCCTGTACCAGTAAATCTAAGATGCCTAGACTTTGATGATATAAATTATGTTATTTGTATCACTGTGCTACTAATAATTTTATTGTGTACAGACAGAATAAAGTAGTGGTTAAGACGCCACTATCATATCATGTGCTACTATACAAAACTGAATGAATACACTCGCAACAGGCATGAGGTGTGAAAGGCCTGCAGGTGCACCAGAACTGCCCCTGGATCATGCAGCCAGAAACCACTATACAGGGGAGTCAGGCGACTTCCATGCTAGCAGTAAAAGGCATGAGCCCCAAGGATACATAAACACTGTAACGAAAACAGTATGTTTAAGCCTCACTGAGTAGTAGAGCTAAAAAGGAAAATGAAATATGGGGAATTTTTGAGGACAAAAATGTGAGGAAAGCATACTGGCAAATATTGCACAACGAGGGAGAAGCAAACAGAAGTCCTTGGGAGACAGTAACTAGGAGCTTTACTCAATAGCATTTCTATGTACGCGAAATAGTTTCTAAATTATTGATTATTCAGGAACACTTTCCCCCTTATATTTAAATTGCCTTACATCATCAAGTCCAGCTGAAACTATATCCAGCAGTGTACAAGTTATACTTTTTCTTAAAATGTTTTAGGATTAGTAGCTTTTCACAAAATGCCTCTATAATCAAATCATAACATTAAACAAAGCATATTAACACATCAAGAGCCTATCTTCTAAAATGTTAACTAGTCATAGTTAAATAATTCCCACAGATTTAGCCTCCTTTCTCTCCACCCCCCAAAAATTAGACAATTATTACATCCAATAGATACCTATGGTCACCAATTTAAAAGCAACACAATGCTGATGTCTTCTTAAAAGATGAGCACATTCGCCCATGCTTCTGTGCCCTCAACGTCTGCCGATTAGTTGAGGACATTAGAACTAGGAATAATCCCAGCATTTGATACCTCCCCTCCCCTCTTATGGAAATGCCATTCACTGGCTCCACTTTCCTAAGGACAAAGTGATTTTTGATAACAAGTGAAATGTAAATCTCGTGAGAAAGACATTAACCCAGATCAGAGAACTATCAATATGACTCACAACCGCTTACAGAAAGGTGTATTCACTCACATGAAAAAGATTCAAAGTTTTAAAAGACAGATACCAGAACAATTTTTTCAAAGTGTCCAAGTTGGGATTTTTGTCAAATAAAAATGAGAAAGCAGGTCTCAAGCCATGAAGAAATTAAAGCCTACTCGCTCAGTCTTTTAATAATAATTTTAAAATGATCCTTACTACTTACAGGATCTACAAATAGAAATACACTTAAATATTTACAACTCATTAATAATAGTTACAATCTACCTGTATTGCAAGATTCCAAACATTTTCCTCCTGCAGTTAAACTAACTGTATAAATCTATTCTTTGAGCCACCAAATAATGTTAGTAACAGTGAATTTTATAATGCCTGGTATTTGGGAAATTAAAAAGTAGCAAACATTCACAACTGAAAATTTATAAGAAACAAAGAAGACCAATCTACTTGCTAAATGTATAGTTTGGTTCTCTAACGTGCAGGGTTTAATTTCCATAATGATTTCTCAGTGTAGCAGGTATCTCCTGAATAAGAACAGCATGACAATACCTCAGGTCGCTTCTCATCCCATATGGCAGTAGGACATTCCTTAGTGCCAATATAGACTGATTACAGCCTGCCAAGATGGCTCAGCTAGCTTTTTCCACATGATCACAATTTATTAAAATAAAGACTTTCAGCCTAGACAACATAGAAAGACCCTGCCTCTATAAAAATAAAAAAATTAGCCGGGTGTGGTGGCACATGACTGTAGTCCCAGCTACTTGGGAGGCTGTGGTGAAAGAATTGCTTGAGCCCTGGAGGTCAAGGCTGCTGTGGGCCATAATGGCACCACTGCACTCCAGCCTGGGCAAGAGAGTGCCTGTCTCAAAAAGAAAAAAAAAAAGATAAAGACTTCCTAGACAAATCTAGGATATTTTACTAAGCTGTTTTAACTCCCGCAAACACGGGTGTTTTTGCTGCTACCATCTATATTTTCAAGTATATTCTTAATATTTTCCTTAAGAAAAGGAGTATATTATAAGTAAAACCTAAAATTTGGCTGTTACATTTCACTTGGTAAAAACAAAATCATGTGAAAAACCAGAAAAATTAGTTCAATAATCTATTTAACACTATGATGAGACTGAGAACATTCTAAAGTCCGCAATTCTTGTTAACTACCTGACTAGTACAGTGCTGGTATGCTACTGTTACTATATGGCCAAATAAGTATCACTTCCACAACACACAGGGTCTGTGAAGAGTCCCCACCATGAACACTGCATTGCCCATGTCCCCAGCACTGCACCCATCAGTGCCCAGTTCCCACTTCCTCTATGAACATCCTGCAGTCTCCCCCAATACCCAGTGATTTTCCACACACACAAAAAATCACCTAACGGCCTGGACACAGATCCTCAACCTTCTCAACCCAATGATCTCCATGGTGATGTACCTCTAGGATGGGGAGACCAGGCATTTGCCACAGAGCTATTCCACTTCAAAGACAGCAAATCAGGGTCTTCTTCGGGCCACGCGTCCTTATCCTAGCAAAGTTCCCAGTCCAGGGTGCAAAAAGGAAGGGCTTTAGGTCACCAGGTCAGGACCTGGTTCAATTTCTGGGCTGGCTCTTAGCTGTCACAAAAGGGACTCTTCCGGTTCTTGGCTGTAAATAGTGGTGAGAACACCCATCTTCTTTAAGAAGGGACCATATGGACCACAGAAGAAAAGCACTTAGCCTAAGCAAATTGGTAGCAGTCAACTCTCTGCCCCTACAAACTCATCAATTCACAACGTCGTGGGGGCCTACCTCACCACAACTCCCCACACCACACTTCCTCAGCCAGCTCTGTCATCACCCAGGCTCTTCCCTGATGGACTCATCACCATAAATTTATGCCAAGTTCAATACAAATTATTATTGATTTTCCTTTGCTGATTATTGATGATCTCTACCAAAGCGTGACCAAATTTTCCCATTTTTTTCAGCCCTCGTCTGAATCCTAATCATATCCTTACTTAATTGACCTGATGTTCCCAATTGAGAATAGAAGTCACAGTCACCACCACTATTTCATTCTTCCTCCCCTAGTTTTCCTCATGCCAAAGAGGATGGATACTATTCTTCCTTTCCAATACATCCTCTTTCCAAAGGTGTCACCTCCTTATTCTTCACAGAGGTATACCACATGTCTCCCAACCTTTTCAAGAACATCATCCTTCTGTGTGGCTTCCACGATCACCACAATGATAAGGACTCTGCAACTTACATCTCCAGAGCCTGTTTCTGGGTCTGACAAAACTATGTATTAGACCACTTCTCCTGCCAATGCTTTGTTTTGTTTCTTAATACAAGATAGATTTCTTAAAAAAAAAAAAAAAAAACTACAAATAGTTATTTGGTTTAGTTAAGTAATATCTTTAAAAAACCCACAGTCCATATCTGCTTAATGCTGCAATACTGTCAGCTCCCACCTGGGAAAGAACAAGGTGACGGTGACCCTTCTCGCTACTGCACAATGCTGTACGTTCCAGCCAGCTCCACAAGGCAAGGCACACAGACCATAACGGAAGAAGTAATACCACTGCTATCTGCAGATGGCATGACTGTCTTTATAGATTACAAGGAATCTACAAAACCACTCTTAGCACCAGTGAGTTCAGCAAGGTTATAGGATAAAGGATCTAACATACAAAATCAACTGTATTTCTACACACTAGCAAAGAAAATGTGGAATCCAAAATTTAAAATACCAAACCATTTACGATCACTCCAAAAAGTTAAACACTTAGGAGTAAATCTAATGTTTGCATGCTGAAAACTACAAAACGCTAGTGAAAGAGATCAAATTATCTTCAAATAAAACGGAGCAAAAGGTACCATGTTCATGATCTAGAAGACTCAACATAGGAAACATGTCAATCCCCCCCAAACTAATAAAATATATAGGTTCAACACAAGTCCTATCAAAATCCTAGTAAGGATTTTGTAGATATGAACAAGATTATTCTAAAATTTCTAAGTGAAGGCAAAGGAACTAGAATAACTTAAAGATTTCTGAAAAAAGTAAGAAGAATTAGCCTACCCATGTTAAGATTTTCTATAAAGCCACAGTACAGCACACTGTGTGGTACTGGCAGGAACTGACACACTGATGAGATGGAGAAGAGAACAGAACCAAGGCCACAGACAGCTCCGCTCATGTACAATCAAGTGGTATTAGAATATTTGGATACGCACTGGCTAAAAAATGAACTTCAACCTAAACCTCTCACCTCACCAAAAAAATTTTTTTAAATATTCAAATGTAAAGCTATAAAATGCATGCAAGAACATCTTCAACAAAGAGTTCTGTGAAATTCTTAGATGCGACACCAAAAGCACAATTCACAAAAGTAACAAAAGCAATAATTCAGACCTCACCAAAATTAAAAACACTGGATCCAGTGAAGTCTCTCTGAATCTCAACGGATGGAAAGACAAGATACAGACTGGCAACATGGTGAAACTTTGTCTCTACCAAAATACACAAAAAAAACTTAGCCGGGCATGATGGTGGGCACCTGTAGTCCCAGCTACTCGAAAGGCTGAGGCAGGAGAATGGCTTGGACCCAGGAGGCGGAAGTTGCAGTGAGCCAAGATCGAGCCACTGCACTCCAGCCTGGGTGACAGAGCGAGACTCCGTCTCAAAAAAAAGAAAAAAAATAAAATAAAAAGGAAAGAAAGAAAATATGTCCAACTACATGTCTGACAGAGGACCCATAGTTAGAATATGTAAAGAACTCTCCAAATTCAACAAGAAAAAAATAATAAACAACACAAGTAGAAATTAAAGATGGAAAAACATTTACTTATGAGAGTACACAAATGGCAAAAAGATGTCCAACCTCCCTAGCATTAAGAAAATGGGAATGAAAAACACAATGAACCATCACTCCATATCTACTAGAACAGCTACAATCAACAACAGTGACAATAAACTGGATCTCTCAAACACTGCTAGTGCAAATGTAAAATGGTACAGCAACTCTGGGAAATATTTTGGCAGTTTCTTAAAAAGCTAAATATACACTTACCATACAACCCAGCAATGAAGTTTCTGGACATTTATTCCAGAGAAATGAAAACTTCTGTCCACACACATCCACACACACAAATGTACACAATTGTTCATGGCAGCCTTATTTCTAATATCCAAAAACTTGACACAACCTACACAACAGCTTGGATGGCTCTCACAGCATTATGTTGAATGAAATAGGCCAACCTCAAAAAACAAATCACATAATACAGATATCACTACAATATGGAAAAAAAATAGAACAATTTTTAAGTATCACATATTGAGTAATTTCAGTTATGTAACATTCTTGATATTAAAACGAGATGCAGAACTGATGAGTGGTTTCCAAGGCCAGGGCTCAGAGGGACAGGAGTGGCTGTGGCACAGGAAGCTCCCTGTGGGGTTGGAATGGTTCTGCATCTTGGCTGCAGTGGTGATTACAAAATCAACACCTGATGAAATCACCGAGAACTGCACACACACACTGTGCCAAGGTAAGTGTCCTGGTTTCATATTATAGTTACATAAGATGTAACAACTGGGGTAAACTGGGTCAAAAATACAAGAAACCTGATATGGTTTGGCTGTGTCCCCACCCAAATCTCATCTTGCATTTAACTCCCACAATTCCCACCTGTTGTGGGAGGTGATTGAGTTATGGGGGTGGGACTTTCCTGGGCTGTTCTCCTGATAGTGAATGAGTCTCACGAGATCTGATGATTTTAAAAACAGGAGTTTTTCTGCACAAGCTCTCTTTGCCTGCTGCCACCCACATAAGATGTGACTTGTTCCTCCTTGCCTTCTGCCATAATTGTGAGGCCTCCCCAGCCATGTGGAACTACTGTGAGTCTAACTGAACCTCTTTCTTTTGTAAATTGCCCAGTCTCGGGTATGTCTTTATTAGCAGTGTGAAAATGAACTAATACAGGACCCCTCTATACTATTTTTGCAATTCCTGTAGCTAATTATTTCCAAATTCAAAATTTTTAAAAATTTTTTTAAAAAGTAAAAGAATGACAATATATACCATGCAAACATTAATCAAAAAAGCTGGTATAGTTTTATTGAAATTAGACAAGTCTTCACAAAGTATATTTAAAGATAAAAGAGGAACAATTAAAGACAATAAAAGGTCAACTGAAAAGGTTAATAATCCTAAATGTCCATCATCTAATAACACACTCCAAAATTAACCAAAAGAAAGACACATCCACAATGATGTTTAGAAACTCATGAAGTCTCTCAGTAACTGACAAACAAGCAAACCATGAACAGCAACACAGATTTGAACTAGACAACCAACAACTATGACTTCACTGACATACAGAGCAGTGCACTTAACAACTGAAAAATACAAATTATTTTCAAATACACAAAGAAAATTTGCTACAAGTTGTCTATATGATGAACCATAAAGCGAGTCTCAACACATTACAAACACTGAAATTTTTATTTTATTTTTTGAGACAGAGTCTCACTCTGTTGCCAGGCTGGAGTGCAGTGGCATGATCTCGGCTCACTGCAACCGCCGCCTCCTGGGTTCAAGTGATTCTCCTGTGCCTCAGCCTCCCGCATAGCTGGGGCTACAGGTGCACACCACCATGCCCAGCTAATTTTTGTACTTTTAGTAGAGACAGGGTTTCACTGTGTTGGCCAGGATGGTCTCAATCTCTTGACCTCGTGATCCACCTGCCTCAGCCTCCCAAAGTGCTGGGATTACAGGCGTGAGCCACTGCACCTGGCCCATTTTTTAAAATTATAAGTATATTCAATGGCCTCATGAAATTCAGATACAAATCAATTACAAAAAAATAACTGCAAAAAACAGGTTGGGCATGGTGACTCATGCCTGTAATCCCAGCACTTTGGGAGGCTGAGGTGGATCACTTAAGCTCAGGAGTTCAAGACCAGCCTGGGCAACATAGCAAGACCTGGTCTCTATTTAAAATGATAATAATTATAAAAAGTTAACTAGGAAAAATCTCTAACTTTGGAAATCAAGCAACATAGTTATAAATCAAACATGGATTTAGATTAGAAATGACAATGGAAATTAGAAAATATTTGGGCCCAGGGACGGTGGCTCACGCCTGTAATTCCAACACTAAGGGAAGCCAAGGCAGGCAGATCACTTGAGGTCAGGAGTTTGAGACCAGCTTGCCAACTTGGCAAAACCCCATCTCTACTAAAAATACAAAAATTAGCCGGGGATGCTGGTGCACATCTGTAGTCCCAGCTACTCAGGAGGCTGAGGAAGGAGAATCGCTTGAACCCAGAAGGCGGAGGTTGAGGTGAGCTGACATCACACCACTGCACTCCAGCCTGGCAACAAAGCAAGACTCCGTCTCAAGAAAAGAAAAGAAAGAAAAAAGAAAAGAAAAGAAAAAAGAAATAGATTTTGAACTTAATGATAATACCTGTCAAAACTTAAATGCACCTATTTTTAGAAAGGAAAAAGGAAGAATATTGGAGACCTGAGCATTCATCTTATGAAGCTAGAAAAAGAAAAGCGAGTTAAAGTCAAACAAAATAAGAGAGAAAATAAAGGGAAGACCAGAAATCAATCAAACAGGAATCAAACACCCTGAGAAGGCCATAGCATCACTTACACAGTATTCCACAGAGGGTGCTTAAGCTGAGTTTAACTTCGAGGAAACACAAACAAAACAGAATGTGAAACATTCTGTATAATAACTGATGTTCATTCTTCAAAAATGTCAATGGAATGAAAGATAAACACTGAACTACTACTCCAGATTAAAAGACACTAAAAAAGCATGCCACCTAAATGTGACATGTGACCATATCCAGTACTAGAGAAAATAAGGCTACAAAGGACATTACTGGGATGATAGACAACATTGAAATATAAACTTAAAGTAGATACAAAGCATTGTATCAATGTTAAATTTCCTGAATTTGATAACTGTACTAAGGTTATATAAGAAAATACCTATTTCTTCATGTGTTTTTTGGCTGCATAAATGTCTTCTTTTGAGAAGTGTCTGTTCATGTCCTTCGCCCACTTTTTGATGGGGTTGTTTGTTTTCTTCTTGTAAATTTGTTTGAGTTCATTGTAGATTCTGGATATTAGCCCTTTGTCAGATGAGTAGGTTGCGAAAATTTTCTCCAATGTTGTAGGTTGCCTGTTCACTCTGATGGTAGTTTCTTTTGCTGTGCAGAAGCTCTTTAGTTTAATTAGATCCCATTTGTCAATTTTGGCTTTTGTTGCCATTGCTTTTGGTGTTTTGGACATGAAGTCCTTGCCCACGCCTATGTCCTGAATGGTAATGCCTAGGTTTTCTTCTAGGGTTTTTATGGTTTTAGGTCTAACGTTTAAATCTTTAATCCATCTTGAATTGATTTTTGTATAAGGAAGGGATCCAGTTTCAGCTTTCTACATATGGCTAGCCAGTTTTCCCAGCACCATTTATTAAATAGGGAATCCTTTCCCCATTGCTTGTTTTTCTCAGGTTTGTCAAAGATCAGATAGTTGTAGGTATGTGGCGTTATTTCTGAGGGCTCTGTTCTGTTCCATTGATCTATATCTCTGTTTTGGTACAAGTACCATGCTGTTTTGGTTACTGTAGCCTTGTTGGTGGGACTGTAAACTAGTTCAACCATTGTGGAAGTCAGTGTGGCGATTCCTCAGGGATCTAGAACTAGAAATACCATTTGACC
This sequence comes from Homo sapiens, assembly GCF_000001405.40. Lineage (NCBI taxonomy): Eukaryota > Metazoa > Chordata > Mammalia > Primates > Hominidae > Homo > Homo sapiens. The sequence continues at coordinate 79,097,907 of NC_000018.10, read as the reverse complement.
CAGCCATCCCATTACTGGGTATATACCCAAATGACTATAAATCATGCTGCTATAAAGACACATGCACACGTATGTTTATTGCGGCACTATTCACAATAGCAAAGACTTGGAACCAACCCAAATGTCCAACAATGATAGACTGGATTAAGAAAACGTGGCACATATACACCATGGAATACTATGCAGCCATAAAAAATGATGAGTTCATGTCCTTTGTAGGGACATGGATGAAATTCGAAACCATCATTCTCAGTAAACTATCGCAAGAACAAAAAAACCAAATACCGCATATTCTCACTCATAGGTGGGAATTGAACAATGAGATCACATGGACACAGGAAGGGGAATATCACACTCTGGGGACTGTGGTGGGGAGGGGGGAGGGGGGAGGGAAAGAACAAATAAAAAATAAAAAAATAAAAAATTAAAAAAATTAAAAAAAAAGAAAATACCTATTTCTTAGAAAATACACACTGAAGAATTAAGAAGAGGAATGAAGTAATCAACCTAGTCTGAAATGACTCAGAAAAATAATGATATAAAAATAATAATAAAATAAATGTAGCAAAATGTGGGGAAAAATATAGGTGAATCTGAGTAAAAGATATACCAGAGGAGTATAGGCCCATATCTATCTTTTGGGAAGAAAAAGAAAAACCATTTATAAATGTTGATAGAGCAACCATTATTAATTCTATCATGCATTAGCTATAAAGTCACTAATTTTCTCTAGCTTTTTTTTTTTTTTTTGAGACAGAGTCTTACTCCATTGCCCAGGATGGAGTGCAGTGGCTCGATCTCGGCTCACTGTAACCTCCACCTCCCAGGTTCAAGTGATTCTCCTGCCTCAGCCTCCCTAGTAGCTGGGATTACAGGAGCTCACAATCTCGCCCAGCTAATTTTTGTATTTTTAGTAGAAATGGGGTTTCACCATGTTGTCCAGGCTGGTCTCAAACTCCTGAGCTCAAAGTGATCTGCCCGCCTTAGCCTCCCGAAGTGCTAGGATTACAGGCATGAGCCACCACACCCGGCCTCCAGCTTTTAACCATTAAAACTTCTCGTAAGATAATAATTTGGCTTTCCTTTCCTTTCATATTAGCATTGTTTGGCTTTGATTAATGTACTGATAATCTCCATGATATCATTTAAGGAATATCTCCTTGAGTTTTTATATTAATATAGCTAATAAGTATATTAGAAGCTAACCTTATAAGTAACCTTAGCATATAAGGAAATTAGGTAGCAATGGATAACAAACCTGGTACAGAGGAACTTCCAGCCATCACAGACAAACCACTCCAGTCCTCTTTTCCTTTGCATTATCCTGGCTCGTGGTAAGGTGTGGTAATCACTTTCCTCATTCTCAAAGCCTTCTTCAGACATCATTAGTGGCATTTCATCCAAATGCGCAGACTCATCCTCCAGCTGGTACCTAGTTAGGGTAAAAATGGAGTGCTGAGATAGGCCAAGCAGTCTTCTTTACAGTGTGTTTCATTTAGGGACAATATTTCCTCAAATTAGGCTGTCTTCAGCTGAGGGAAAGCATTATAAATAAGACTGCAGAGGCTGCTTTCTTTTGCAAAGGAATAAGTTAGCTAAGGTAAAAAAGCTGCCCAACGAGACCTGTGCTAGCTGAAGAAGTCTCTGTTAACCGTGCTGTGAGCATAATCCTGGAGGCATCTGTGGTGCGGATGGGCAGCCTGACAGCACAACCAATGCTGCTCAACAGCTCCTCACTGCACTTAATCCAGTCAGAAAAAACCAATCTTCTGAAACATGACTATAGCAAAGAATGTTCACTCCAAGCAACATCTAAACACTCTATGTTACACAACTTTAAGTCATCAACCAACATTCTAGAAGTGACTTTCGACAGTATGTAGCTGTCTGTATCTGAAAGGTATCAACATCATCCCTTGGTTTGCTGACAGTTTATATCTTTGGGGAATGATGCTATGTCCCATTTATTCTGTTATTCTCTTCACTAAAATGCGCTATTCAATGAAAAAATCTCAACAACCAGCAGACCTTTTAAAGCTCAACAATCCTCTTGATTTCAAGAAACAGGCAGCCTATCATCAAAACTGTTCCTTTTATCCTTCCTCAATCACAAATGTAATTTATCTTTAAAAAATAAAAACTTACCTTTTTGAGAACAATTTGTCAGAAACTATAATGGTGATTCAACAAGTGCTGTCTTACTGAATTTTGCATCAAGTATTTGTGGAGGCATTGTCTCAATGTAAAAACTGAGAAAGCAGACTCGTGGGTTCCTCTGGGATAAAGGCAGTCATTTATATTGAAATCTTTTTTAACATTCTCTAAATTCCATATAGAAGACAGCTAAAACTAACCAAAACCCACTATTAAAACATAAATAAGGGACAGAGATAGTACCATCCTTAATTGACACATAAGGAGAAAAGTAAGTATTCCAAACCAACAAAGCCAGGTCCAGAGTCCAGTCTGGATCACAGCCAGGCAGCTTAGGGGGAAAACAGGACTGGGGGCCCTAGCAACGGCAGACCATGGATGAAAATTATACCCAGAAAGAGTCTAAGGGCAATAGGTCTGTGATCACAGCACTGGTTACTGGGGGACCTACAGGAGGGTGCATAGAGCCAAGGCAGCAAGCTTGGTTAGTAAGGCATCAATGTTGGGGGCAGAAGTCCACATGGGAAGAAGGATGCACCTCTTGAAAGGCTTGTTGGTGAGGGGAAGGAAAGGAGCAATAAGTGGAAATTAAGAGCTCTTCAGAAACAAAAAATAGGAATCAAACACATAAGCAGGCAATTATAGCACATTCTGCTAAAGTGCAATTTAGAGATAGGTCAGTATTGTGGAAGACTTTTCTTTTTTCAAGAGAATACAGGGAGTCTCAGGAACCCAGTCATTCAGTCCTCACTGCCTAGAAAACTCAAAGAGAAACAGCACGTTTTAAGTACCCAGAGGCCAAAAGGCATGGGTGATATGAAGGTACGCGTATGCAGTGGCCGAGTGTACATGTCGTGTACGATGGAATCATATTTCTGATCACAACCTGTCATATTTTCATTCCTAGTAATTCTTCCTCCTTTCAGACCTCCAGTTGATGGGGCTGACACACACAGTTTCAAGACAAGGGCAGCTTAGCTCCAGGTATCTAAAACAGGCTCTTGAAATCCAATGCAGAGTTCTTGTCAAAGTGAAGACTCTATCTGCATTGCCCACAATATGCAGAATGCAAACTCCAGAAGAAACCCACCCTTTCTAGCCACAGCCCCAGCAAAGGGGGCTCTTGCAAAGCAGAACGTTTTTTTCTTTTTTCCTTTTTGTTTCTCCTAGCCCTATTAGGGCTACACTGTAGTCACCTTCTATGAGAGCAAGGGAAACAGGAAGATGGGCTCCTGGAGTCCAAACAGGATGTGGACGTCCCTGGTAGTTCTCTCTTTTCACACAACTTTTCCCTGAGAACTGTCCCAGTCAGGTGGACCTTCACAACAACACGAACAGCTAAAACTCTGAGAGAAAACCCTGACTTTCAGAAAGCATAAAGCTGAGAAAAAACAACCCTGGAAATTGGAGACATGGGATAAACCAGACAGTGGAGAAAGCTGGACGAGGGATGCCCTAATTCTGTATATGAATCAACAGAAGTCCCAGGCTCACCCCCGAGCTGCAAAAATGTGCCCAAACCCAAATAAGCACAGGACAGGCTCTGGGAATTACTCAGGTCCTACACAACAGGCCCTGACAAGCACTGGCGGGGAGCAGATGGCACAGCCAAGGCTTTGCAACTGAACTGACATTGCAACCACCACCCACTGGTGGTGAAACAGAACTGGGGGTCTAAACCTACCCAGGTCAATGCACTGTTAAAACATTCTTCAAAGGATTATGAGACCCAGAATCCCACAACACAATATTCAAAATGTCCAGGATACAAGCCAAACTTAACTCAACATACAAAGTAACAGGGAAATATGGCCAATAGTCAAGAGAAAGAACAACCAACAAATGCTAATTGCAGTATGAAAAACATATTGGAATTTTAAAACAGCCATTATATCCACGCTCCATGAGATAAAGTTGAACAGTCTTGAAGTGAATAGAAAAACAGAAGTTCTTTTTTTCTTTTTTTAAAAATACTCTACAAGCATCCTAGGGTAGACAGAAATTCTAAGCAGATGGGGGAGGGGGTGTGTGCACACGCACCCATGCATACACACTATTTCTCTATATTTATATATGAAAAGGTCTAACATGCATGTCATTATTAGAATACCAGAAAAGATTGAGGCAGAAAAATATGTGAAGAAAAAAATGGACAAAAGCTTCCCAAATTTGCTGAAAGTAATTTACTAATTAAAAAAGCAAACTTAAAACAGGATGAAGTCAAAGATACCTACATAAAGATACATCATAATCAAACTACTAGAAGCAAAGATGAAGGAAAAAATCTTGAAAGCAGCCAGAGAAACACAACTCATTACATATAGAGGAACATCGATTCAAATGCCTGTAGATTTCTCATGGAGAAAAACGGAGGCCAAAGCACAGTGGAACTTGATGTTTGAAGTGCTAAAAGAAAAGAACTGTGAAAGCAGAAGTCTACATCCAGCAACAATGTCCTTCAGGAATGAAGGCAAAACAAAGATGTTCTCAGATGAAAGAAAACTAAGAGACTCTGTCAACCTTACTTTAAAAGATTAAAAGTAAAAAAAATGGAAAAATAAACAGTTAATCGCTGCATAATGACATACCAGTCAACAATGGATTGCATATAAAACAGTGGTCCCATAATAAGGAAGCTGAAAAATTCCTAACACCTAGTGACATCACAGCCATAATAACGTTCACAGTATAATGCATTACTCACATCTTTGTGGTGATGCTGGTGTAAATCAAATCTATTGTGCTACCAGTCATTCATATAAAAGTCGAGCATATACACTTATGTACAGTACCTAATACCTGACAATCATAACTAATGACTATGCTATTGGTTTATGTATTTACTATACTGTATCATTATTATTTTAGATCAGACATTTTCTATTTATTTTTTAAAAAGCTAACTGTAAAACAGCCTCAGACAGGTCCTTCAGGAGGTATCCCAGCAGAAGACACTGTTAACACAGGAGATGACAGCTCCGTGTGTTACTGCCTTCCCAGTGACATAATGCGGAGGTGGAAGATAGTGATATTGATGATCCTGACCCTGTATAGGCCTAGACTAATATGTGTGTTTTTGTTTCCGTTTTTAACCAAAAAAAAAAAAAAAAAAAGTTTAAGTAAAAATAAATTTTTTTAAAAAAGAAAAAAGCATATAGAATTAGAATATAAAAAAAGAAAATATTTTTGTGCAACAATATCTTCATGTTTTAAACTAAGCGTTATTACAAAAAAGTCAATAAGTTTTTAAAAATTAAAAAAATTACAAAGTAAAAAAGTTCCAGTAAGCTAAAGATTAATTTACACACTGTAAATTTGTGTCCTGTATGATTTTTTATGTTTTATACTGTATTTTACTATGTTCAGTATGCTTAGATACACAGATACACAATTGTGTCACATCTGCCTGCTGCATTCAGTACAGTAACATGCTGCACAAGTTTGTAGCCTAGGAGCAATAGGCTATACCATATAGGCTAGATGTGCAGTAGTCACTATCATCTTGGTCTGTTTGAGTACACTCTAGGATGGCTGCACAACAATGAAATTGCCAAACACATTTCTGGAGTGCAAAACTCAGTATCTAGAGGAAGTATTTTAAGTATTAATGGTATTTAACATTTCTCAGAACATCACACCCCATCCTTCAACAACACATGACTATATATAATGCAAACACTAGTCAAAAGAAAGCCAAGTAGCTATATTAATATAAAACAAAGACATCAAAAAAAGAACTGCCTAGCATAGAGGGACATAACGCAATAATAAAAGGATCAAATCACCACTAAGATCTAAAAGTCCTAAATATGTATGCACCTACCACCAGAGCTTCAAAACACATACAGCAAAACCAATACAAGTGGAAAGAAAAATAGACAAATCCACAATAGCAACTGAAGACTTCAAAACTCTCAGCCCACTGTCACCACTGTTACTCGACATAGTACTGGAAGTCCTAGCTAGAGCTATCGGACAAGAGAAACATATAGGGGGAATCCAAATTGGAAAGGAAATAATCAAATTATCTTTGTTTGCTGATGATACGAACGTATATTTGCAAAAACCTAAAGATTTCACAAGAAAACTATTAGAACTGATCAATTCAGTAGTTGCAGGATACAAAATCAACATACAAAAATAAGTAGCATTTCTATATGCCAACAGTAAACACTGTGAAAAAGAAATTTTAAAAGTAATCCCATTTACAATAGCCACACATAAAATTAAATACCTAGGAATTAACTTCACCGAAGAAGTGAAAGATCTCTATGATGAAAACTATAAAACACTGATGAAGGCAATTGAAGGATACCAAAAAATGAAAAAATATTCCATGTACATGGATTGGAAAAATCAATATTGTTAAAATGTCCATACTACCCAAAGCAATCTACAGATTCAATGCAATCCCTATCGAAATACCAATGACATTCTTCACAGAAATAGAAAAAACAATCTGAAAATTTATATGAAACTACAAAAGACCCAGAATAGTTACAGCTATCCTAAGCAAAAAGAACAAAACTGGAGGAATCACATTACCTAACTTCAAATTATACTGCAGAGCTATAGTAACCAAAACAGCAAGTTACTGGCATAAAAACAGACACATAGACCAATGGACCAGAATAGAGAACCCAGAAACAAATCCACACATCTATGGTGAACTTGTTTTTGACAAAGGTGCCAAGAACATATACTGGGGAAAAGACAGTCTTTTCAATAAATGGTGCTGGGAAAACTGGATATCCATATGCAGAAGAATGAAAATAGACTCCTATCTCTCACTGTCTACAAAAATCAAATTAAAACACATTAAAAGCTTAAATCTAAGACCTCAAACTATGAAACTATTACAAGAAAATATTGGGGGAAATCTCCAGGACAATGGTCTGGACAAAGACTTCTTCGGCAATACCCCTCAAGCACAGGCAACTAAAGCAAACATGGACAAACGAGATAGCATCAAGTTAAAAAGTTTCTGCAGAACAAATGATACAATCAACAAAGTGAAGAGACAACCCACAGAATGGGGGAAAATATTTGCCTATTTGCCAACTACCCCTTTGACAAGGGATTAATAATCAGAATTTATAAGGAGCTCAAACAACTCTATATGGAAAATTCTAATAATCTAATAAAAAATGGGCAAAAGATCCGAATAGACATTTCTCAAAAGAAGACATACAAATCACAAACACGCATATGAAAAGGTGTTCGACATCGCTGATCATCAGAGAAATGCAAATCACAACTACAAACAGAGATCATCTCACCCAAGTTAAAATGGCTTATACCCAAAGGACAACCAGTAACAAATGCTGGCAAGGATGTAGACAAAAGGGAACCCTTGTACACTGTTGGTGGGAATGTAAATTAGTACAATCACTGTGGAGAACAGTTTGAAAGTTCCTAAAAAACTAAAAATTGAGCTACTATATGATCCAACAATCCCACTGCTTGGTATATACCAAAAATAAAGGAAATCGATGTTATCAAAGAGATACCTGCATTCCTATGTTTGTTGCAGCACTGTTTACAACAGTTAAAATTTGGAAGCAATCTAAGTGTCCATCAACAGATGAATGGATAAAGAAAATGTGGTACATATACACAATGGAGTACCATTCAACAGTAAAAAAGAATAAGATCCAGTCATTTACATCAACATCAATGGAACAAAAGGACATTATTTTAAGTAAAATAAGCCAAGTACAGAAAGATAAATATCACATGTTCTCACTCACATGTGGGAGCTTAAAAAAGAGTTGGACTTATGGAGACAGAGAGTAGAATGATGCTTATCAGAGGCTGGGAAGGGTAGTGGAGAGTGGGGGACAAAGAATGGATGGGTAATGGGTATAAAAATACAGTTAGATACAAAGAATAAGATCCAGTGTTCAGTAGCACAACAAGGCAACTATAATTAAGAGTAACTTATTGTGTATTTCAAATAACTAAAAGAATAAAATTGCAAAGTTCCTAACACAAAGAAATGATAAATGCTGGAGGTGACGGATATCCCAATTACCCGATTCCATCATTACACATTGTATGCATGTATCAAAACATCATATGTATCGCATAAATGTCTATAAACATTATGTATCTATAATAACGAATAATTAACAATAATTTTTTTTCATAAGACTGGAAGTGAGGGAGAGGTCTTCCTTAGATCACCCAAGATGCTAGGCCCCAAGTAGTGACATCTGGAGGAAAAGCAACCAATCTCTGAAGGCCTAAAAAGACTGGCCAACTAGCACAGAGACCTTGAAGAGAGCCACAACACAAAGCCAGCTGGGCACGTGCACAGTGGGCCAAGGGGAGCAGGACACCAGAAGCAGCTGAAGAGATGGGCAGGAACAAGGGACACAGTGCAGGCCAAGCAACAGGAAGGGGTTTAATTTTAAGTGTAATGGAAGGCTATTGGAAGGTTTTAAACCTGGAATAATTTTTGTTTTCACAAAGGACTTTTTTTTAATAATTTTTCATTTCCATAGGTTTTTGGGGAACAGGTGGTATTTAGTTACATAAGTTCTTTAGTGGTAATTTGTGAGACTGTGCTGCACCCATCTCCCGAGCAGTATACAATGAACCCAATTTGTAGTCTTTTATCCCTCACTCCCTTCCCAACCTTTCCCCCTGCATCGCCAAAGTCCACTGCATCATTCTTATGCCATCACAAAGGACTTTTAAAATATGCAAATTCAAACAAGAAGAGACCATGTCTTGCTTATCAAATGTAAAAAAGAATTCTTAACATTCAATATGGCCAACGGTCTTGGATAAACAGGCACTCTTAATCGCTGGTAAGAGTGGAGAACAATTTGTGACGATGCATTGAAAGCTTTTTATTTCTGTAACGTAAATAAACTTTAACCATGGTTTCTCATTATCCCACGGAAATTTAAAATGTGTTCAAGATTTCTCTACAAAGATAACCATCACTGTGCTGTGATGTTGAAAAAGACCAAAGGAAACATGGCAAAAAGCATAGTATCCATGAATAAATAATTGGTGAAATATACCATGGAATAGAATATTGTCACTAAAAATAATCACAAAGAAGACCTTTGTTGAAAGTAAATGTGTTAGGAGAAATGGCAGTCACTTCTTTTCACCCCTCTTTTAAACACCCTACTCTACCAATCAAAATGTTACTTGCTTTAGTGTCTCCAGATAATCTTTTATACACAACTCCAACCACTATCGACAGCATCACAGAACAACCTCACAACATACAAGTTTCATTATAATTTAGGCAAAAAATTACATGATCTATGAAGTAACAGACTAAAACATTAATAATATTTTCCCTTAAAATGTCATTTTTTTCTTCTCTGTATGAGATCACTTCTTTTAAAACAGTCAACTAGAAAATGAGTATTTATACAAAATGTGAATAAATTCAAACCACCACATAAATATATTGTAATATAATACCCTAAATGAGACTTTTGATCTTTTTCATTAAGTTATTCAACAGTTATGTCTTATTTTAGTAAAAGTCACAATCCTATCAAGTTTAATGCGGGAAACGCAGCACAACGAGTTCTGAAAGATAAGGAATATAAGCAACATCATGTTTTGTAACCTCAACTCCAGAAATGGAGCCTTTGAACTGGCAAGCAATTTATTCCATTTCCAAGGCAATTTTCCTATTGTACTGAAAATTTTACCTCAGTATTTAAAAACAATAAGATGATGAATAATGGATTTTTTTCAGAGACAGGAAAAGCGCAGAATCTTAAGTGTCTTTGTTGCCTGGTGTCATACACACTTAATTGGTTTGTCACTCAAGAAAAATCAACGTTTCCAGCAATTAACTATAATTCTGGAAACATATTTTTAAAATGAGTAAAAACAATTATGAACAAAGATGACAGAATGGATGATACCAAACCCAAGAGCACTGCCATGCTAAGAAACAAGGACAGCTATCTGAACTGCAGCCAAAGGTTTCAAAAAAAATTAGGAACTCTCAAGTACTGGAAGGCACATAAGTTACACATAAGTTACTAAGTAAAAGTTACTAAGTAAATCATTACAATAACTAGCTTAAAACTTACATTTTATCTTAAATATCTAAGCCTTATTGTTTCCATTTTGATGAGAAACACTTCTTAGAAGACAACTGATATTAAACGAAGAAATAGATTTAAAACATGTCTAATGCTCAAAGCTTCTTTAAAAATAAACACTCCCACTTTGCCTGCATGTTAATAAAGTAGAAAAACAAAGCAAAAAACTAAGTGCTATAAAGAAATGTGCATATTTCCTTCATCAAATACAACTACAAGTTTCAACTGTCATTGATAAGTCATTACTAAGCAGCAAGCTGCATAAACTAATGAGAAATTGGGACTCTCCCTCCAATAGCAGCAAAGGAGACAAATGGTGCTACGGTTGAAATGTTTTTGTCCCCTCCAAATTCATGTGTTGGAAGCTTAATCCTCAATGCAACAGTCTTAGAAGATAGTGCCTAATGGGAAGCATTTAGCTCACAATAGTTCCGCCCTCATGATGCATTAATGCCATCATAAAGAGAGCATATTGCAATGGGTTTGCTCTCTCCTGCTCTTCTGCCATGTGAGGAAACCACATTCATCCTCTCTTGCCCTCCCATCTTCTCCCATGTGAGGACACACCAAGAAGGCCTCACCAGACGTCAATACCTTGATCTTGGACTTCCCAGCCTCAAGAAGTGTGAGAAATAAATTTCTGTTCTTTATAAATTATCTAGTCTCAGATATCCTGTTACAGCAGCACAAAATGAACTAAGACAAAGGGCAAGATGTTAAAATAAATAAATAACCCAGCAGACAAATGAATAAATAAAATTTAAAGGGATGGCTGCCTGAAAAATATGCCTTGACTTTAGTAGCAAAACCCAGGAAAAGGAACATGGAAATAGTCCCTTGAGCTGAGATGTCATTTCCCCCATGGGAATCATATATACAATAACCTTGGAGCTAATGATTTCTAAAATGTTCTACAAGAAAACTGAACACCAATTTCTTGAAATAAGAAATAACACTGCTATACATAAATTGAGAAAAACTTCTGAATTAGAGTTAATGGTACAATATCCAATGTTATATAAATGCAAACCCAAAAATTTGAAGCTATATAGCCAATTAGCTCAGGATACATACTTCAGTTACCTAAAATTGTGATGTTCCCTACTATCAACTCTGTCTTCATGCTAATACTATTAGGTGTAAAAAAAAAAATAAGTAAAACATTTCTATTCTGGCAAGTGTAAATAATTTTTTAAACTTGAGATTTTATCTTTTTTTTTTTTTTTTTTTTGAGATAGAGCCTTGCTCTGTCTCCCAGGCTGGAGTGCAGTGGTGCAATCTCAGCTCACTGCAACCTCTGCCTCCCAAGTTCAAGCGATTCTTCTGACTCAGCTTCCTGAGTAGCTGGGATTACAGGCACCCGCCACCACGTCCAGCTAATTTTTACACTTTTAGTACAGGGTTTCACCACCTTGGCCAGGCTGGTCTCAAACTCCTGACCTCAGGTGATCCGCCCACCTTGGACTCCCAAAGTGCTGGGATTACAGGCGTGAGCCACTGCACGCAGCCTACGGATGCCTTTTAAAGGAAATTCTTATAGACCCCCTAAGAAAATGTCTCTGATTCCAATGAATCCTGGGACTGGACAATTAGATAAACACTGTCTTAAGAATTAGTACTACGCCTTAAAAAAAAAAAAGGCTTTTCAATTGTGAAACATCACAGCAAAATAAGTTTCATTTTTACAACTAGTAAAATATTAGACTATCATAATTATCAAAGTTTTATGATTCATAGAAAATTGTGTATAGACTCAGAATGAGAAATCTAGTATTAAAAAAAACTGTGTTGCTTCTACTAAGAAACACTAATATTTTCCCAATAATCAGACAGTAGACATCTGTTCTTAACATTAGTATCTTTCAGTGCTAACACTTAACTATTGTAAGATTGCAAATGGCTCTGGGCAGGGCCAATAGTCACACTGCTGGCAAAAGCAAAGAAAAACTAATAATGGACATGGATAAACAAAACAATAATGCTCAATGTCATTCATTCTTCATTCAACTGCAAAGATAAGTTGAATGACACCACTATCACTTAAAACACAAAAAAGGGAAATACCAATTTAACAAATACCTTATTTTCACCCAGATATCAACAATGCGAAGGAAAAATCAGTATCTCACATGACTTTGTAGAAAACAGACTGAACAAGTAACTGCGTTCCCAGTGAACTATGAGCTACTATGTGTGGCACACGTCATTTTGTTTACTTAATGACATATGAAAACCGTAACATCTTCATCCTCGATGATAATAAAGGCAATGTGCTATTGAATTTCTTAATCTTCCTTAACCATATGCTATGGTTTGGATGTGTGTCCCCTGCAAATTTCATGTTGAAATGTGATCCCCAATGTCAGAGGTGGGGCCTAGTGGGAGATACTGAATCATGGGGTAGGGGGTGGTCCTCTCATGAGTCCCCATGGTGATTGATAAGTGTGTTCTCACTCAGTTCACGTGAGATCTGGTTGTTTATAAAAGTCTGGGACCTCCCATTCTCTCTCTTGCTCCCTTTCGTCATGTGACATGCTGGCTCTCCAATACCTTCCACCATGATTGTGTACTTCCTGAGGCCTCACCAGAAGCAGATGCCAGCACCATGCTTCCTTAAAAGCTTACAGAAGCACGAGCCAATTAAACCTTTTTTTTTTTTTTGTAAATTACCCAGCCTCAAGTATTATATTTCTTTATAGTAATGCAAGAATGGACTAACATCATACTCAAATCACATCTAATTCTTCCCTTGGAAATTTTTATAAAATATAAGCCCAGTCATGAAAATTTTTATACAAGTTTTAACAACTAACCAACGTTATCTTTTAAATACACTGTGTCCTAAAGTAGTATGATTATAATGAAATAAAAATAATTCCACTTCAAGGAAAACCTGAGAACTTTTAAAATACAATAAGTACAATTATTTATACATAAGAGCAAAATGTCATTTTCAAATGGTCAAGGAAGGAAGCTTTCAATGCTCACAAAGCGATGTAAAGCTCATATGAAAGCTGTTTTTCTAATAACTATTTAGTTTTCAACCGCCAATGTGGATATCTAGGCTGCATAATGTAAAATTCTGTTTCTCGTAAATTAAGACAATACGCTTACATTTTTTTTTTTTTTACTTTTACTCTATTATATAGCACACACTTCCCAAAGTTTAAATTGGGAAGTGAATTAAGTTTATAGCAAAATTGTCATGTTCTAATATTTCTATTTTGGGAAATGTGTGCCATTCTGAAATTAGTGACTTGTTATAAATAGTTAAAATGGTAAATTTTAAGTTACCTATATTTTACCACAGTGAAAAAACTCTATAGATATGGTGGTTGGGGGATAGGTGGAATGGAAAATGATGGGATAGGGTTGGTAGGAAAATGATAGGGGTACTCATACCCGGGGTACCCAACGGGGTACAAACTTTCTTTTGGACATGATGAACATGTTCAAACACTGACTTTGGTGAGTTACATTTATCTATGAATATTCCAAAAAAAAAAACTGAGCCAGGCGCAGTGGCTCACGCCTGTAATCCCAGCAATTTGGGAGGCCGAGGCGGGTGGATCATGAAGTCCGGAGATCAAGACCATCCTGGCCAACATGGTGAAACCCTGTCTCTACTAAAACAAAAAAAATTAGCCGGGCATGGTGGCACGTGCCTGTAGTGCCAGCTACTTGGGAGGCTAAGGTAGGGGAGTCGCTTGAAGCCAGGAGAGGCTGCAGTGAGCCAAGATGGCGCCACTGCACTCCAGCCTAGCAACAGAGAAAGACTCCCTCTCAAAAAAAAAAAAAAAAGAAGAAGATGGTCAATAGGAACAGCTCTGGTCTGCAGCTCCCAATGAGATCAAGGCAAAAGGCGAGTTATTTCTGCATTTCTAACTGAGGTACCCAGCTCATCTCACTGGGACTGGTTAGACAGTGGGTGCAGCCCAAGGAGGGCAAGCTGAAGCAAAGTGGGGTGTCGCCTCACCCGGGAAGCACAAGGGGTCAGGCAAACTTCCCCACCCCTAGCCAAGGGAAGCACTGAGGGACTGTGCTGTGAGGAACAGAGCATTTTGGCCCAGATACTACGCACTTCCCATGGTCTTCGCAATCCGCAGACCAGGAGATTCCTTTCGATGCCTACACCACCAGGGCCCTGCATTTCAAGCACAAAGCTAGGTGGCCGTTTGGGCAGACACCGAGCTAGCTGCAGGAGTCTTTTTTCATACCCCAGTGGCGCCTGGAATGCCAACAAGACAGAACCGTTCACTCTTCTGGAAAGGGGGCTGAAGCCAGGGAGCCAAGTGATCTACCTCAGCGAATCCCACCCCCACGGAGCCCAGCAAGCTAAGATTCACTGGCTTGAAATGCTCGCTGCCAGCACAGCAGTCTGAAGTCAACCTGGGATGCCCAAGCTTGGTGGGGCAAGGGGCGTCTGCCATTACTGTGGCTTGAGTAGGTGGTTTTCCCCTCACAGTGTAAACAAAGCCGCTGGGAAGTCTGACCTAGGCAGAGCCCACCACACCTTGGCAAAGCCACTGTAGCCAGACTGCCTCTCTAGATTCCTCCTCTCTGGGAAGGGCATCTCTGAAAGAAAGGCAGCTGCCCCAGTCAGGGGCTTATAGATAAAACTCCCATCTTCCTGTGACAGAGCACCTGGGGGAAGGGTAGGTTGTGGGCACAGCCTCAGCAGACTTAAATGTTCCTGCCTGCCACCTCTGAAGAGAGCTGTGTATCTCCCAGCACAGCGCTTGAGCTCTGCTAAGGGACAGACTGCCTCCTCAAGTGGATCCCTGACCGCCATGTATCCTGACTGGAGACACCTCCTAGCAGGGGTCAACAGACACCTCATACCGGAGAGCTCCGGCTGGCATCTGGCAGGTGCCCCTTTGGGACGAAGCTTCCAGAGGAAGAAACAGGCAGCAATCTTTGCTGTTCTGCAACCTCCGC
Organism: Homo sapiens; assembly: GCF_000001405.40. NCBI lineage: Eukaryota > Metazoa > Chordata > Mammalia > Primates > Hominidae > Homo > Homo sapiens. The sequence continues at coordinate 79,082,728 of NC_000018.10, read as the reverse complement.
TGGTGAAACCCAGGTAAACAGGATCTGGAGTGGATCTCCAGCAAACTCCAGCAGACCTGCAACAGACGTGCCTGACTGTTAGAAGTAAAACTAACAAACAAAGGAACTGCATCAACATCAACAAAAAGGACATCCACACAAAAACTCCATCTGAAGGTCACCAGCATCAAAGACCAAAGGCAGATAAATCCACGAAGATAAGGAAAAACCAGCACAAAAAGGCTGATAATTCCTAAAACCAGAACGCCTCTTCTCCTCCAAAGGATCACAACTCCTCACCTGCAAGAGAACAAAACTGGACAGAGAAGGAGTTTGACAAATTGACAAAAGTAGACTTCAGAAGGTGGGTAATAACAAACTCCTCCGAGCTAAAGAAGCATGTTCTAACCCAATGCAAGGAAGCTAAGAACCTTGAAAAAAGGTTAGAGGAATTGTTAACTAGAATAACCAGTTTAGAGAAGAACATAAATTACCTGATGGAGCCGAAAAACACAGCACAAGAACTTCATGAAGCATACACAAGTATCAATAGCCAAATCAAGTGGAAGAAATTATATCAGAGATTGAAGATCAATTTAATGAAATAAAGCGTGAAGACAAGATTAGAGAAAAATGAATGAAAAGGAATGAACAAAGCCTCCAAGAAACATGGGACTATGTGAAAAGACCAAACCTATGTTTCATTGTGTGAATGAATGTGACGGGGAGAATGGAACCAAGTTGGAAAACACTCTGCAGGATATTATCCGGGAGAACTTCCCCAACCTAGCAAGACAGGCCAACATTCAAATTTAGGAAATACAGAGAACACCACAAAGATACTCCTTGAGAACAGCAACCCCAAGACACATAATCGTCAGATTCACTAAGGTTGAAATGAAGGAAAAAATGTTTAGGGCAGCCAGAGAGAAAGGTCGGGTTACCCACAAAGAGAAGCCCATCAGACTAACAGCAGATCTCTCTGCAGAAACCCTACAAGCCAGAAGAGAGTGAGGTCCAATATTCAACATTCTTAAAGAATTTTCAACCCAGAATTGTATATCCAGCCAAACTAAACTGAAGGAGATAGAGACACGAAAAACCCTTCGAAGAAAAGGGTTTGAAGGGTTTTTCGTGTCTCTATCTCCTTCAGTTTAGTTTGGCTGGATATAATGAATACCCAGGAGCTGGTTTTTTGAAAAGATTAGCTGAATAGATAGACCACTAGCCAGACTAATAAAGAAGTAAAGAGAGAAGAATCAAATAGACACAATAAAAAATGATAAAGGTGATATCACCACTGATCCCACAGAAATACAAACTACCATCAGAGAATACTATAAACACCTCTATGCAAATAAACTAGAAAACCTAGAAGAAATTCCTGGACACATATACCCTCCCAAGACTAAACCAGGAAGAAGTTGAATCCCTGAATAGACCAATAACAAGTTCTGAAACTGAGACGGTAATTAATAGCCTACCAACCAAAAAAAGCCCACGACCAGATGGATTCACAGCCAAATTCTACCAGAAGTACAAAGAGGAGCTGGTATCATTCCTTCTGAAACTATTCCAAACAACAGAAAAAGAGGGACTCCTCCCTAACTCATTTTATGAGGCCAGCATCATCCTGATAACAAAACCTGGCAGAGACACAACAAAAAAAGAAAATTTCAGGCCAATATCCCTGATGAACATCAATGTGAAAATCCTCAATAAAATACTGGCAAACCGAATCCAGCAGCACATCAAAAAGCTTATCCACCATGATCAAGTCAGCTTCATCCCTGGGATGCAAGGCTAGTTCAACATATGCAAATCAATAAACGTAATCCATCACATAAACAGAACCAATGACAAAAACCACGATTATCTCAATAGATGCAGAAAAGGCCTTTGATAAAATTCAAAACCCCTTCATGCTGAAAACTCTCAATAAAGTAGGTATTGATGGAATGTATCTCAAAATAATAAGAGCTATTTATGACAAACCCACAGCCAATATCATACTGAGTGGGCAAAAGCTGGAAGCATTCCCTTTGAAAACCAGCACAAGACAAGGATGCCCTCTCTCACCACTCCTATTCAACATAGTATTGGAAGTCCTGGACAGGGCAATCAGGCAAAAGAAAGAAATAAAGGGTATTCAAATAGGGAAAGAGGAAGTCAAATTGTCTCTGTTTGTGGATGACATGATTGTATACTTACAAAACCCAAAATCTCCTTAAGCTGATAAGCAACTTAGCAAAGTCTCAGGATACAAAATCAATGTGCAAAAATCACAGGCATTCCTATACACCAATAGACAAAGAGCCAAATCATGAGTGAATTTCCATTCACAACTGCTACAAAGAGAATAAAATAACTAGGAATACAACTTATAAGGGATGTGAAGGACTTCTTCAAGGAGAACTACAAACCACTGCTCAAGGAAATAAGAGAGGACACAAACAAATGGAAAAACATTCCATGCTCATGGATAGGAAGAATCAATATTGTGAAAATGACCATACTGCCCAAAGTAATTTACAGATTCAATGCTATGCCCATCAAGCTACCACTGACTTTCTTCAAAGAATTAGAAAAAAACTACTTTAAATTTCATATGGAACCAAAAAAGAGCCCACATAGCCAAGACAATCCTAAGCAAAAAGAACAAACCTGGAGGCGTCATGCTATCTGACTTCAAACTATACTACAAGGCTACAGTAACAGTATAGTACTGGTACCAAAACAGAGTTATAGACCAATGTAACAGAAAAGAGGCCTCAGAAATAACGCCACACATCGAAAACCATCTGATCTTTAACAAACCTGACAAAAACAAGCAATGGGGAAAGGATTCCCTATTTAATAAATGGTGTTGGGAAAACTGGCTAGCCATATGCAGAAAACTGAAACTGGACCCCTTCCTTACAACTTATACGAAAATTAACTCAAGGTGGCTTAAAGACGTAAACGTAAGACCTAAAACTATAAAAACCCTAGAAGAAAACCTAGGCAATACCATTCAGGACACAGGCATGGGCAAAGACTTCATGATTAAAACACCAAAAGCCATGACAACAAAAGCCAAAATTGACAAATGGGATCTAATTAAACTAAAGAGCTTCTGCTCAGCAAAAGAAACTACCATCAGAGTGAACAGGCAACCTATAGAATGGGAGAAAATTTTTGCAATCTATCCATCTGACAAAGGGCTAATATGCAGAATCTACGAGGAACTTAAATTTACAAGAAAAAAACAAACGAATCCCATCAAAAAGCAAGCAAAGGATATGAACAGACACTTTTCAAATGAAGACATTTATGCGGCCGACAAACATATGAAGAAAAGCTCATCAGAGAAATGCAAATCAAAACCACAATGAGATACCATCTCACGCCAGTTAGAATGGTAATCACTAAAAAGTCAGGAAACAACAGATGCTGGAGAGGACATGGAGAAACAGGAACACTTTTATACTGTTGGTGGGAGTGTAAGTTAGTTCAACCATTGTGGAAGACAGTGTAGCAATTCCTCAAGGATCTAGAACCAGAAATACCCTCTGACCCAGCAATCCCATTACTGGGTATATACCCAAAGGATTATAAATCATTCTACTATAAAGACACATGCACATGTATGTTTACTGCAGCACTACTCACAATAGCAAAGACTTGGAACCAACCCAAATGCCCATCAATGACAGACTGGATAAAGAAAATGTGGCACAAATACACCATGGAATACTATGCAGCCATAAAAAAGGATGAGTTCATGTCCTTTGCGTGGACATGGACGAAGCTGGAAACCGTCATTCTCAGCAAACTAACACAAGAACAGAAAACCAAACACTGCATGTTCTCACTCATAAATGGGAGTTGAACAATGAGAACACATGGACACAGGGAGGGGAACAACACACACCGGGGCCTGTCGGGGTGTGGGGGGCTAGGTGAAGGATAACATTAGGAGAAATACCTAATGTAGATGATGGGTTGATAGGTGCAGCAAACCACCACAGCATGTGTATACCTATGCAACAAACCTGCACATTCTGCACAAGTATCCCAGAACTTAAAGCATAAAAAAAAAAAAAACTGAACTATACACTTTAAGTGGGGTAACTTGTATGTATGTAAACTATATCAAAAAAGCTGTTAAAAATGAGTAAATGAAGCAATTTTAAAATAAAAAAGAGTAAATAAAAAGAAGAAAAAAGAAAAAATGTAAACTGCTCCTTCCTTCCAGTTCTAGACCAAGATGGAGTAGATGTGCTACTCCCTGTTCTTCCCACTAAACAGATAAAAACCCTGGACATTATACATCAAAATGTGGAGAGAAGAGGGCAGACCAGTAAGGTCCTTGGACCCAGAGAACAAGACAACAGTGAGTTTCCAGTATTTCCTTTTGGTCTCATGCCCATGTTGTGTACTAGAGAGTTAGCAACCAGAAAAGTAATAGACACAGACCAAAAAAGTCCCCAAGAAAAGTCTGGTCTCTCCAGCCAAAGGACCAGGAAAAGGGCAGCCTAGTGGAACGAAAAATTTTTGATAGTAATTGCTATATCCCATCCAAAGACGACAGAAAAAGCAAATAGCCTCACCTACATTGAACAGCAAAGAGTGCGTGAAGCCTGGACTCCCACACGCCCCAGCCGTAGGAAGACACTCTCCCCATTGCCCAGGTGGTGTCAGGGCAGACCAAGTCAGGAGTGGGGACATCCATCCAAGCCTGGCAGTCATTGTAGGGTACATGCACAAGGGTGCCGGATGCTCGTTCCTGTTAAAGTTTCAAAAAATTTAGTTTAAAGATCGAACCGGCTTTTATTAGCAAATCAGGCAGTATTTCATCTATGAAATAGAAAGATACTCAGATATGCTGAGCAGCAGAGGTAAACTTTACAGCCAGAGAGGGCTGCAGAAAGCAGATACGAGGAACAAAATACAGATTGGGCATTTCAAAGTTACTTTCCTTACAGGGTAAAGTAGAGAGGACTCTCTTATGCTGGCTCAGTTTGGCCCCCTTATGATTGGTTGCTGTGAACCTCTTGTTTTTGAGGAAACTGGTCTGTTTTTAATTTAGTTTGATTGTGGCACCTAGCACAAGTGACTCCATTCTGGTTTGTTCTGGTCTGCTTTGCCTGGTGCAGGAGCTTAGTCTGAAATAATGGCCTCTGGTACATTGTATTTAACATCCCCAAATAGCAGTAATAAAGCATTCCTGCCCATCTCTATAATGTCAGAGGAGGCCTAGTGAAAAGTGGAAAATCTAACCACCTTCTAAAAGGTAACACCACCCATGCAATGTCAGTGGAGGCCACAGGCATGCAGTAACCAGGCACTCCTCCCCTTCCCAGCCAAGGTATTGTTAGCAGAGACCACTGGGGAGCCAGCAGTCACATGGTACCTTCCCTTCCCAGATGTCAAAGGGGGCTGTGAAGGGAATCTGGCTCTTCAGCCCCTTCTGGCAGTAACCCCCACATTCCACTCCCACCACCACCAGGCCCGATAAGCAGAAGATTTAAATAAGGTCCCAAATCTCATAACATAATACCCAAAATGTCTAGGCTATACTGGAAAATCACTCATTATCCCCAAAACCAGAAAAATTTCAACTCAAATGAGAAAAGAGAATCAATAGATGTCAACATCAAAACAACACAGATACTGAAATTATCTAATGAGGATTTTTAAACACACATCATAAAAATGTCTCAATGGACAATTATGAACAGACTTGAAACAAATGAAAAAATATAAAGTCTCAGAAGAGACACTGCTAGTATGAGGAAGAATCAACTGGAAATTTTGAAACTAAAAATCTTAATGGATGGGCTCAACAGTAAAACTAAAAAAACGAGGAAGAAAAAATCAGTGAACTTTAAGAGAAAATAACAGAAACTGCCCAATATGAACAGGAAATGGACTTAGAAAAAATGAGCAGAAACTCAGGACCCTATGGTACAAGAAAAGATTTCACAAGGTGTCACCAGGGTAAAAGAAGGGACGGAGAGTAGAGCTCAAAAAGCACTCAAAGAATGGCTGCAAACTTCTCAGATTTGACAAAAGACACAAACTTATAGAATTAGGATACTAAGCAAACCCTAAACAGGGTAATCCTGAAGAAATCCATACCAAGACCCAGAACAGTCAAACGACTAAAAACTAAAGACTTAAAAAAAATGCTTGAAAGTAGTAAGAGAAAAGTGACACCTATCTCAAAAGGAAAAACAACTCAAATGATATCAGATTTCTCATCAGAAAGCACGGAGACCAGAAAGAAGTGGCATAACACTTTTCAAGTTCTGAAAGAAAAGAACTGTCAACTCCGAATTCCGTATCTGGTGAAATTATCCTTCAGGAATGAAGGAGAAATACAGGCATCTTCAGATGAAGGAAAACAAAGAGAATTTGTTTCCAGTAGACTTACCCTAAAAGAATAGTTAGAGAATTACTGAAACAGAACAAAAATAAGAAATTGTGGACTATCAGGAAATAAGAAAACAGAAAGGGCAGAAAGGGTAGATGAATATAATAGGCTTTCCTTTGCCTCTTGAATATTCTAGATTGAGAGAAAGCAAAAATTGTTAACACTGTCTGATATAGGGTTCTAATTGTATATAAGGGAAATATTTATATACTTTTACATATGTAAAATCTACATACACTTTTACATGAGTATTATATTACCAATGGGAGAATAAAGGGATTTAAAGAGGTAAAGCTCTTACACTTTACCCAACAACCGTTAAAATACCAACAACAGTACACTGCAATGAGTTATGTATATGTAATGTAATTCCTAGAGCTAGCACTAAGTAATATCTACACAAAGAAATACACTGAAGAACGCTATAGATAAATCAAACTGGAATTCTAAAAAATGTTGAAGCATAATCCGTAAGGCAGGAAAAAGAAAACCGAGAAACAAAAACAGAAAGCAAAAAATAAAATGGCATAAACATTACGCTGAACATAAACCTTCTAAATATATCAATCCAAAGACAGACAATGGCGGTGGGTAAAAAAAAAGAACCAACCGTATGACAACTACCAGAAAATCACTTCAAATATAAGTGACTTGAGAGAGAAAGGATGGAAAATTATATACCATGCAAACATTAATTGAAGGAAAGCAGAGGTAGCTATATTAGTGTCAGATGAAGATTTCAGAGCAGAAAAATTACCAGAGACACATGGGTGAACTACATAATGATAAAAGTGTCAATGCATCTAGAACACACAGGAATCTCAAATGTGTATGCACCAAACAACAGACCTGCAAAATATGTGAAACAACAATTGATAAAACTCTAAAAAGAGGCAGGGTGCACTGGCTCATGCTTGTAATCCCAGCACTTTGGAAGGCCGACAGAAGGCGATCACTGAGCCCAGGAGTTCAAGTCCAGTGCAACCCCATCTCTACAAAAAAAAATTAAAAAATTAGTTGGGCATGTTGGCATGTGCCTACTATCCCAGCTACTCTGGAGGCTAAAGCAGGAGGATGGCTTGAGCCCAGAAGGTCGAGGCTGTAGTGAGCGCCTGTAGTCCCAGCTACTTGAGAGGCTGAGGCAGGAGAATGGCGTGAACCTGGGAGGCAGAGCTTGCAGTGAGCCAAGACTGCACCAATGCACTCCAGCCTGGGGGACAGAGTGAGACTCCGTCTCAAAAAAAAAAAAACTCTAAAAAGAATAAACAAAGTCACAAGGGAAGATGAACTCAACAGCACCATTAACTAAAAGGTAATAATCAACATTTAACAGCAAAATAAATGTTATTTTCAAAAGCCAGAGAATAGTTACCAACATACAGGTTGAGTCACAATATCTTACTGCAAGCCTTGTAAAAGCACCACTTAACTTTATAAACTATGTGTATGTTACCACGATAAAATAAAACCCAACTTCAGAAAATAATGTAGAAGCACAACTTCTGGTCCAGACAAAATGCCACAGACCCATTTCTCTGCTCCTCCCCAGTTAAGTCCAACTATAAATCCTAGTAATTAAGCAAGAGCCAATCAAAGGAGAGTTCTGGAAGAAGGTAAGAAGGCAGCAGTGACTTCCTGAGACTCCCCTCTCCCACCAAGGGATACTGGGGCCTGAGGCTCCCCTCTCCCATCAGGGGATACCGGGGCATCTGGGCAGTAGCAGTAAGGGGAACTTGCCACTACAAGCTGCTGGCCCAGTAAGGCTCTGTGCCCCTCATGCCCGAGACTGGTCTCTCTCATTAGGGAGAGCCAGGCAGCACCGACAGGTGCAACCCCACCACATAAGGGGCCCAGTCCAGAAAACCTTTTTATCCATAACCTAAGACCTTGCTCCAAGACATCAGAGCATCGAGGTGGCACCAGCAATAGGGATTCTGCCACAGGAACCCTTTTACCATGGTGGTGCTAAGACTCCTCTTCTCCAACCCAGACACACCAGGGCAGCCACTGGGTCCATATGGATGGGATACAGCCACAGCCAGGGCCCAGCCAAAGAAGCCTCTTCATCCCCATGGGTCTGACACTTCCATCTTTTAGTAAGAGACGCCAGGCCTAGGAAAATCCACCTTTCCCTCTCACGCAGCACCAACAGAGACCAGGAAGAGCCCCAGTGATACCACATAAACCAAGCAGACCAAAGATCACAGCACAAAGGCTCTGAGAATTAAAATGTCATTTAGAACCACAGCCCACAAATGTAGCCCAGGACCTATGTGCTGAATCTAAACAGGGTGGCTGCACGCTAAAATAAAAGATATAAATAGAACCCAAATTCTCCTAATATACAAAATACCCAAGAGACAATCGAAAACCATCTGTCAAACCAAGAGCCAGAACATTCGCAATCTGAATTAGAAAAGGCAATCACATGACACCGACACTGAGCTAACTCAGATACTGGCATTAATTATATGACAAGCATTTTAAAGCAGCAGACATAAAAATGCTTCCACAATCAAATATTATCTTGAAACAAACATAAATTATAAAACTGAGAAATACAATAACAGAAATAAAACCTCACTGGATGAGATTGAGAATAGAGTGGAGATAACAGAGTAAAGAATTAGGGAATTACCCTCTCCCTTCTCCCTCTCCGTCGTCTCCGTCTCCCGCTTTCCACGGTCTCCCCCCTCCCTCGTCTCCGTCTCCCGCTTTCCACGGTCTCCCTCTGTTGCCGAGGCTGGACTGTACTGCCGCAATCTTGGCTCACTGCAACCTCCCTGCCTGATTCTCCTGCCTCAGCCTGCCGAGTGCCTGGGATTGCAGGCGCGCGCCGCCACGCCTGACTGGTTTTTGTATTTTTTGGTGGAGACGGGGTTTCTCCGTGTTGGCCAGGCTGGTCTCCGGCTCCTGACTTCGAGTGGTCTGCCCGCCTCGGCCTCCCGGGGTGCTGGGATTGCAGACGGAGTCTCGCTCACTCAGTGCTCAATGTTGCCCAGGCTGGAGTGCAGTGGGGTGATCTCGGCTCGCTACAACCTCCACTTCCCAGCCGCCTGCCTTGGCCTCCCAAAGTGCTGAGATTGCAGCCTCTGCCCAGCTGCCACCCCATCTAGGAAGTGAGGAGCGTCTCTGCCTGGCCACCCATTGTCTGGGATGTGAGGAGCCCGTCTGCCCGGCCTCCCAGTCTGGGAAGTGAGAAGCGCCTCTTCCCGGCCGCCACCCCATCTAGGAAGTGAGGAGCGTCTCCGCCTGGCGGCCCATCATCTGGGATGGGAGGAGCTCCTCTGCCCCGCCGCCCAGTCTGGGAAGTGAGGAGCGCCTCTTCCTGGCCGTCATCCCGTCTAGGAAGTGAGGAGCGTCTCTGCCCGGCCGCCCATCGTCTGGGATGTGACGAGCGCCTCTGCCCGGCCGCCCTGTCTGGGAGGTGAGGAGCATCTCTACCCAGCCGCCACCCTGTCTGGGAACTGAGGAGCGCCTCTGCCCGGCCGCCCCATCTGAGAGGTGAGGAGCCCCTCTGCCCGGCAGCCACCCCATCTGGGAGGTGAGAAGCATCTCCGCCCAGCCGCCCCGTCTGGGAGGTGGGGGGCGCCCCCGCCCAGCAGCCGCCTGGTCTGGGAGGTGGGGGGGCGCCCCCACCCGGCAGCCGCCTTGTCTCAGAGGGGTACCCAACAGCTCACTGAGAACGGGCCATGATGACGATGGCGGTTTTGTCGAACAGAAAAGGGGGAAATGTCGGGAAAAGAAAGAGAGATCAGATTGTTACTGTGTCTGTGTAGAAAGAAGTAGACATAGGAGACTCCATTTTGTTCTGTACTAAGAAAAATTCTTCTGCCTTGGGATGCCGTTAATCTATAACCTTACCCCCAACCCCGTGCTCTCTGAAACATGTGCTGTGTCAACTCCAGGTTAAATGGATTAAGGGCGGTGCAAGATGTGCTTTGTTAAACAGATGCTTGAAGGCAGCATGCTCGTTAAGAGTCATCACCACTCCCTAATCTCAAGTACCCAGGGACACAAACACTGCGGAAGGCCGCAGGGTCCTCTGCCTAGGAAAACCAGAGACCTTTGTTCACATGTTTATCTGCTGACCTTCTCTCCACTATTGTCCTATGACCCTGCCAAATCCCCCTCTCCGAGAAACACCCAAGAATGATCAATAAATACTGAAAAAAATTAAAAAAAAAAAGAATTAGGGAACTTGAGAAGAGATTAATAGAATTTACACAATCTGAACAACACAGAGAAAAGAAACAGGGAAAGAGCCTAAGGAAATTATGAAACACCAACATAAGATCCAACTTTCTTAACACTGGAAATCCAAATGGAGAGAAGAGAGTGGGAGCAACTCTCCATTATTTCAACAACAACAAAGAGTAGTTGAAGAAATAATGGCTAAAAACTCCCTAAATTTATTCGAAAACCAAAAAAAAAAAAAAAAACAAAACCAAACATGAAATCCAAAGAAATCCATGATAAGACACATCATAATTAAACTTCTGAAAACTAAAGACAAAGTAAAAACTTGAAAGCAGCCAGAGAGAAATGACACATTATCTACAGGGGAACATCAATCTGAGTGACAGCAGCATCCTAATCAGAAACCATGGACACAAGAAGGAAGCAGCACAAGATTTTTCAAGTGCTAAGAAAAGAATGGCAGGCTAGCAGCCATGGCTCACGCCTTAATCCTAACACTCTGGGAGGATGACACAGGAGGATCACTTGAGACCAGTTGGGCAATATAGCAAGATGCTGTCTCTTCAAAAAAAATTTTTTTTAATTAGCCAGGCATGGTGGTATGTGCCTATAGTCCCAGCTACATGGGTGGATTGCCTGGGCCCAACAGATCAAAGCTGTAATGAGCTACGATCGCATCACTAACTCCAGCCAGGAGAACAGAGTGAGACCCTGTCTCAAAAAAAAAAAAAAGGAAGAACAATAGAAAAAGGGGAAATATGCGTATGTGGTATATGCAATACACTATCTTTATCATCATGAGTTTTATAAACCATATTTGATGACTGACACAAAAACTGTAACACCATCTGATACCCAGGACATGATACTTAAAGTGAGGACCTAAGTGAAAGAAGGGTTTCCACACTTGACTGGAAGTGGTGAAATACAGCAATACACCATGGTGATAAGTCACATTTGTATATTGTAATACCCAGAGCAAGCACTGTAAAAACTATACCAACACCTAATCTCAAACACACTATAGGGATACCAAAAAAGTGTCCAAGTAACCCAAAAAGTGGCAAAAAAAAAAAAAAAAAGAAACAGGAATCAGAATGAGAATCAGAAGAAACAGAACACAGATAATAAATGGCACACTTATATTCTAACATATCAGTAATTATCGTAAATGTAAATGGTGTAAATATGCCAATCAAAAGAGAATGGCATAGTTGATAAAAAATATAAGATCCAACAAGAAACTCACTTCAAATTCAACATAGGTAAGTTGAAAGCTAATACCATGCAAACATTAATCCAAAAAAAAGCATAAATGGCGACATCAATATCTAATAAAGATTTTAGAGCAAAGAAAATTACCAGAGACAGAGGAACATTAACAATGAAAGGAACAATCCACCGAGATGACAAAAAATCTTGAATGTGCGTGCACCACATGACAGTGCTTCAAAGTACATGAGGCAAAAATGGATTCAATCTGTGATGGAAACCTATTTTGAAACAGGTGGCACATTTCCAACTAAAGAACTCCTAAAATTAAACAGATTTACTAACACAATTACTGTTATAGGTAACACCAGAACCCACTTCCAACCAAGCACTGAAAAAAGGGCACCTTACACATGTTCTACTGTAATCTCCAATAATCCCGTAAGAAAAAATATTATCCAGCATTTTACAGATGAGGAAACCATGGCTTGAGTTTAAATAAGTTACCCGAGAGTAAATCGCTAGTGGGTAAACACTCAAATCAGCGTTATAACATTCCAGTATGTACTTTGAGCTATATGTTAGTCTCTCAAATGGCCGAAAACAAAAATTATTCAAAAACTCAAATTCTGAAGCAACTACATATTGAGTGAAATTATGTTTTCGACAATTCCTCTGGAATAAAACTTCAAAAACTATAAGAAGCAACACTTTTTAAAATTTTCTTTTCTTTGAATGAGAAATGTTAAATATGAGCTAAATGCAATCTCGAGTATGAAAGGTCTGTACACTAATTCTACTGCTAACCTGTGACCCCACTAAACAAGTTAACCGTTCTCAATACCCCATTTCCCTTTCGTAAAAGCAAAATTACTTGTCGACAAAAAGCACTTTGTATATATATGTTTAAACAAAAAGTGTGCCTAGCAAAGATATCGAAATGTCGAAGAGAAGTCATTTCAATAAGAAGTGTGTTTTTAACAAAGCAATTAAAAGTTACATCCGTCACCTTCACAATTCACAGGGCTACAAGAACAAGTTTCGGAGACTCTGAAGTATCCGAGAAGTTAGCACTTTTGATCCCCGTTTACTTTAGGAGAGCAGCCACCCCTCAACACTGGACCGCGGTTCTCTGCTCCCGTTCTGGCTCCTACGCTCGGCCCAGGCGTCCCGGGGATGCAGCCGCTCGCCCCGGCAGCTGCCCGCGGCCCTCACCACCGGCGGACGCCACAGCTGCGGCGCGCTCAGAACGCCAAGGACTCCCGGCTCCCAGCGAACAGATGGGGCGCGCCGGTAGCGACCCCAGACCCGCCCGGCTCCGGGTTCCTGCGGTGGGCTGGGGGCCCCGGGGAGCGTCGGCGGGGAACGGGGCCAGTGCCGCCTCGGTTACCTGCTGTGCCGGTCGGCTCCCGGCCTGGGCCCCGCGGCGCTGTAGTAGGCCGCGCGTTTGCGGTTGGCTGCGGCCGCCGCTGCGCTACGCACCGGGTAAAGCGGGATCTGGTCCGCCATGTTCCGACCGCCCCTTTCCCGCCCCTCCCACTTTCCCCTCAATTCGCCACCTTTTCCCCGCCCTCTCCCCTCAGCGCCAACCCCGGCTGAGGCGCCGCCTGCGGGCCTTCCCCGCCTCCGCCAAGCGGCGAGGTCCGATGACGTAACGAGCGGCGGCGCGGAAGGTGTGGCGTCCCTAGGCCCCGCCCTCGTTTGGCGTCGGCGCACGATGACGTGCCCAGGGTGGCAAAAGCGCGGCGCAGGAGGCAGTGGAGTCCGGGCAATGACGTCACGAGTGGCTAAAGCTGGGACGGGGGGCGTCGCGTTCCGAGGCCCCGCCCCCGCCTCGTGACGGGCCCGATGACGTCACCGATCGGCGGGGCGGGGCGCGCGTGCGCCACAGGCTGGCCTTCCGGTAGCGCGCGAGGGCCTGCACGTGGGTCGTGGTTCGACCCGGCGCGCTCTGGTCCGCGGGTGGAAGGGCCTCGCAGCCGTCTCCTGGAAGCTCTGCCGGGGACACGCGTGGGCGCGCGCGGCCTCCTTAGCGGTCCAGAGCCTGCGCTGCCAGTAGTACGCGCGCCCCATGGCTGTGTGGGGCCCCACGCGCCCTCCTCGCCGCGCGGCTTCTTGCTTCCGCCCCGCGCTTCTCCAGCCTGCCTTCGGTGCCCGCTTCCTGCCCGCGCCCTTGGAACCGCTGGTGTCTGTGCGTTCACAGGCAGGGTCGTGCTACGTGGCCCGGGCCCCCAAAGCGCCGCGACTGCAGGCGCGCCCACCGCGCCGGGCTGAATTTCCGAGATGTTCTTGTCCTGCTTCCTCACTGCTGCTTCCTTCTTTCTCTGGTTCTGGGTCTTTAGCTTGATTCCACATCCCCCACCTCTAGGCCCACAGCCTGCTGAAAAGTCCTATAGGCGACTGTCAGAAACGAGGTTTACACCCTCAGTCTACACAAGAAAGCAAAACGATATTGAATAAACGAATACACGGCTTTGGTTGGGTTTGTTTCATTTCCTGTCCCGAGGACAGCTCCCTTCCACCTCCATCACCCGCTGCAGCTGGAAGCCGGCAAGCTGATGCACCGCTCACCTCACGTATTAATGGTTTACTCACTTTGTGTTTTTTTAAACAATGTTTTTCTGATATTCCATTTTCATGACATATAAATTTTGTCTATGTGTTTGAAACACTGTTCAACATGAACTTATAAATGCTTTTCTTTTCTGTTTTTTGGAGATGGGGTCTCTGTTACCCAGGCTGGAGTGTAATGTTTTGATCACGGCTCACTACATCTTCCACCTCTCAAGGTTCAGGTGATCTTCCCCCATCTGCATGTATTACTTTTTCATTATAAAAAATGGTCTTTATGAATATGAATATTCTTAATTTGTTGCTGCCACTCTGATTGCCAGTTTGCTTCTCAGCTGCTTTTCATGTAACCTGAATACATGCCACTCCACAGACACTAACTACTTTCAAAAGACGCCAATGGCCTCCTAATTGACAATGGCCTCACCCATTATTTCTCTACCTCACTCTCAGCCGCTGACACTGTTCACACCATCTCTCACCCACATTCAACAACTGATATTGATAACACCATCTCATTCTCACAGCACTGGCACTGTAACACCATCTCCTCACCCTCACTCAGTACCTGACAGTGATAACGCCGTCTCCTCACCCTCACTCAACTACTGACAGTGACAACAGCATCTTCTCACCCTCACTCAACTACTGACAGTGACAACACCATCTGACCCTCAGTCAACACCTGACAGTGACAACATCTTCTGACCCTCACTCAGCAACTGAAAGTGACAACAACATTTCTTCACCCTCACTCAACAACTGACAATGACAACACCTTCTCCTGACCCTCAACTACTGACAGGGACAACACCGTCTTCTCACCCTCACTCAATAACTGACAGCAACAACACCATCTCCTGACCCTCACTCAACTACTGACAGTAACACCATCATCTCCTGACCCTCACTCAACATCTGACAGTGACAGACCATCTCCTCTCTCTCACTCAACACCTGACAGTGATAACACCTTCTCCTCACCCTCACTCAACTTCCAACAGTGACAACAGCATCTCCTCACTGTCAGTCAACTACTGATAGTGACAACACCATCTCCTCACCCTCACTCAACACCTGAGAGTGACAACAGCATCTCCTCAGCCTCAGTCAACAACTGACAGTGTACCCTCACTCAACAACTGACAGTGACAACACCATCTCCTGACCCTCACTCAACTACTGACAGTGACAACACCGTCTCCTGTCTCCTTACCCTCACTCAACAACTGACAGTGACACCATCTCCTCACCCTCACTCAACACCTGACAGTGACAACAGCATCTCCTTACCCTCACTCAACACCTGAAAGTGACAACAGCATCTCAGCCTCATTCAAGAACTGACAGTGACAACATCTCCTCACCCTCACTCAACACCTGACAGTGACAACAGCATCTCCTCACCCTCACTCAACACCTGACAGTGACAACAGCATCTCCTCAGCCTCATTCAAGAACTGACAGTGACAACACCATCTCCTCAGCCTCACTCAACAGCTGACAGTGACAACATCATCTATACCCTCACTCAACACCTGACAGTGACAACAATATCTCCTCACCCTCTCTCAAGAACTGACAGTGGCAACACCATCTCCTCACCCTCACTCAACTACTGACAGTGACAACACCATCTCCTCACCCTCACTCAACACCTGACAGTGACACCACCATCTCCTCACCCTCACTCAAGAACTGACAGTGACATCACCATCTCCTCAGCCTCACTCAACTACTGACAGTGACAACACCATCTCCTGACCCTCACTCAGCTACTGACAGTGACAACACCATCTCCTCACCCTCATTCAACAACTGACAGTGACACCATCTCCTCACCCTCACTCAACACCTGACAGTAACAACAGCATCTCCTCACCCTCACTCAACACCTGACAGTGACAACAGCATCTCCTCACCCTCACTCAAGAACTGACAGTGACAACACCATCTCCTCAGCCTCACTCAACTGACAGTGACAACATCATCTACACCCTCACTCAACACCTGACAGTGATACCATCTCCTCACCCTCACTCAACACCTGACTGTGACAACAGCATCTCCTCACCCTCACTCAACTACTGACAGTGACAACACCATCTCCTCACCCTCACTCAACTACTGACAGTGACAACACCATCTCCTCACCCTCACTCAACAACTGACAGTGACACCATCTCCTCACCCTTAGTCAACACCTGACAGTGACAACAGCATCTCCTCACCCTCACTCAACACCTGACAGTGACAACAGCATCCCCTCACCCTCACTCAAGAACTGACAGTGACAACACTATCTCCTCAGCCTCACTCAACAACTGACAGTGACATCATCATCTACACCCTCACTCAACACCTGACAGTGAGACCATCTCCTCACTCTCACTCACCACCTGACTATGACAACAGCATCTCCTCACCCTCAGTCAGCTACTGACAGTGACAACACCATCTCCTCACCCTCACTCAACTACTGACAGTGAAAACACCATCTCCTAACACTCAGTAATTGACAGTGACAACACCGTCTCCTCACCGTCACTCAACAACTAACAGTGATAACAGCATCTCCTCACCCTCACTAATCACTGACACTGTTCATATCCTCTCCTCACCCTCACAGTTAATAACTCACACTGATAACACCATCTCCTCACCCTCACTCAATTTAATGGACTCACGGTTCCACATGGCTGGGGAGATCTCACAATCATGGCAGAAGGCAAGAGAGAGAATGAGAACCAAGCAAAAGGGGTTTCTCCTTATAAAACCATGAGATTTCATGAGACTTATTCGCTACCATAAGGACAGTATGGGGGAAACAGCCCCCATGATTCAGTTATCTCCCACTGGGTCCCTCCCACAACACATGGGAATTATGGGAGCTACAATTCAAGATGAGATTTGGGTGGGAACACAGCCAAACCATAACATTCAACAACAGGCAGTTTTCACACCATCTCCTTGTAAATTTTTTCCTCCCTTAAGGTTCAGACTAAATCAACTAGCTCTCTTCCTTTACCTACTCCGTCTCTCTTGAAAACTCCTCTTTCATCACCTACCCACTTAGGTAAATAATATTTATTTCTTTTTTCCTAATTCTAACCTCTCCTGGCTCCATTTCTGAATTGCTTATTCAGTTTCAATTACATGCAAAAGTTAACAATAGGGTTTATGGAGAATATCAGTATAACTAAGGCATAGTGTCTGCCCTCTAGGAAGTTTAGTAGGAGAGGGAGACATATAGGGAAACAGCTTGTTTTTACTTAGGACACAATGAAATACTTGCCATAAGTCCATAAGTATGAAGTTACACCAGTGGGTGTCTTTTTTTTTTTTTTTTTTTGAGACAGAGTCTCACTCTGTCATTCAGGCTGGAGTGCAGTGGCGCAATCTTGGCTCACTGCAACCTCTGCCTCCTGGGTTCAAGCGATTCTCCTGCCTCAGCCTCATAAGTAGCTGGGATTACAGGTGCCCGCCACCATGCCCGGCTAATTTTTGTATTTTTAGTAGAGACAGGATTTCGCCATGACGGCCAGGCTGGTCTCGAACTCCTGACCTCAAGTGATCCACCTGCCTCGGCCTCCCATAGTTTTGGGATTACAGGCGTGAGCCACCACACCCCTCCCCCAGTGGGTATCTTGATAGGAAAAAGATGACATACTTAAAGCGTTCAACTGAAGAGAGTTTCAGGAGCTGTTTGCAGAGGTAGGGATGGAAATAAGAAAGCCAAATATTTTTGATGAATTAACTGGGAGAAGCAATAGTGGAAAACTGGTTTCACCCCTAGACCAAAGAGATTAGATGAGGAAAATTGTTGACCCTGAATAGAATCCATCCTGAGTTGGAGCCCTGGGAGCAAGGCTACCTCAAAGAGCATGAGGCTATGGAGTAGATGCAGGCCAGCTGGCGGGCAAAAGCCACCTGCCACCCGCTTTGTAAATTAAGTGCTTTTGAAACACAATCACGCTAATCTGTTGACTTATTACCTATGGCTGCTCTCAAGCTATGATGGTAGAGTTAAGAAGATGCTACCGAGACCATATAACCTGTAAAGCCTAAAATATTTACCATCTGGTCCTTTAGAGAGAACGTTTGCACATCCCTATTCTACAGGAAAGAGTGGGTGGTGTAAGAGGGAAAGACAGGCACAGAATGGCTGTCTCACGGCAGAAGGCTCCATTGGTCAATGCCACCCTAGCGCAATCATGAAAAGAATAACAACAGAATGTTTAACTGACAAGTTAATGGAGGGAGGAAGAGGAATAATAAAAATACTTTATTACTTCAAGGAAGCTGTGAAAGAAGTTTAAAGAAAAAAGAACAGATGGAATAAGCAGGAAGCAAAGAAGATGGTAGAGACAAACCCGAAGGTCAGTTTATGTATATTAAATGTAAACAGACTAAATACCTCAATAAAAAGTCAGATTGTCAGATTGCATTAAAAATAAAACCCAACTGGGTGCGGTGGCTTACACCTGTAATCCCAACACTTGGGGAGGCTGAGGCGGGCAGATGGCTAGAGGCTGGGAGTTTGAGACCAGCCTGGGCAACATGGCAAAACTCCGTCTCTAATTGAAACAAAAACAAAAAGAGAAAAGAAAAAAAAAAACAACTATATGCTTGACGTCTCAGAGATCTCACATTAAATAGAAAGACCCAGAAAAGTTGAAAGTAAAAGCATAGAAAAATATACGCCATGCAACCATTGATTATAGTAGCCTCCCTGTGAGGTAAGCTCTGTGAGTATCCTTCACCTTTCCCCAGATGAGGAGCCTGGAGCACAGAGGAGTTAGGCAATCTGCCCGAGGTCACAGTGCTCACAGCTGCAGAGTCAGGCTTCAACCCAGGTGCCAAAGGCCATACCCTTAACCTCTAACCTCAAGTTGCCACCTGAGTTTTGGGAAGATGATACTGATGGCTAGAATGCGAAAGTAAGGCAAAAAGGAGAAATGAATGTCATTTAATGTCATACAAAGGGACAGTCCCACCCAAAGATGAGGGGAACGTACTTTGTTCAACTCACTGCTTACTAGTTGATGAAAGTCTTTGAGTTGGCAAAATTGCATGTTAACTTGAAGATGTTTGCCAATAGAGGTACAAATAGTTTCTGCTTTGATGCGTATTAACTACATTTTATTTTCTATATTCTTGATGCTCTGGCTAAAAGGGGAGAGCCCGTCCTGCCTACGGCTCATCCATTCTTAGAGATAGCAGATGACTCACCTGCAAGCACACGTTTCACATGCAAGCCGCCAATCCCGCCAGCCACCTCGATTGGTTGGATAAGCTCTTGCATTCCAGGCCACTGTGCCCTTGCCCTGCTTACCATAGAGTGAGGCCAGAGACAGGGAGGACAGTCCTTCATGCCAGGGCCTGCTGATCACATCAGCCAAGGCCAAACCTGCCCAGCCTGTTCTCCCCGCCTTGCCCGGCCTTCCCTTGGAAGCCACTACAAAGGCTCTTGTCTTGCCTCTTTCCCTCTGTGCCCCAACCCTGTGTGGCGTGGCATGGTGTGGCCCCTTCCTGTGGGAGCTCTAACAAACTGTGTTTTCTGTGGCCGTCATCTCCTGATCTGTTGGCCTCACTATATCTAAACAATAATAAAACCTACATTTTAAAACAAATAGGAAAATATACTTCAAAGGATATAGCTTATTGTCCTTTAGGAGATCAACCAGTTTTGTTTCTAACCAAACAATCTTATCTTAATATTCCTTTAGAAAATTGTCTCAATATCTCTAGGTCCTAAAATACTCTTTGAACCAGTTCTACATCTTACTCATTATATCTTCCTTCATTGATTAATAAGTTGAATAAAATCTTGCATGAGCATTGTAATTTTACCTCTTTGAAAATTATACTTTAGGCCAAGCACAGTGGTTCATGCCTGTAATCCCAGCACTTTGGGAGACCGAGACAGGCAGGTTGCTTGGGCTCAGGAATCTGAGACCAGCCTGGGCAGCATAGTGAAACCCTGTCTCTGCAAACATACAAAAAATTAGCTGGGCTTGGTGGCACAGGCCTGTGGTCCCAGCTACTCAGGAGGCTGAGGTGGGAGGATCACCTGGGCCCAGGAGGTTGAGGTTACACTGAGGCAAGATCACACCTCTGTACCCCAGCCTGGGTGACAGAGGGAGATCCTGTCTCAAAAAATAAAAAAAGAAAAGAAAATTATATTTTAGCAAAAAGACATAAGTTTTCACATGTTAAAGAGGAGCTTTTTAAGTATTCTTTATGGATAAGAGCAAGTATCACATTATTGTGGAATTTCAATGTCATTTAACATGTTTGAAAAGACGATGTTTTATTTTTAAATGTCAATACTTTATGATATGCCAAAAATACATGATTGATAACTATACCTATAACGAAAATGTTTAGTTGTCCACATATAATGTGTGAAGGGATACATACTTTCCCAAAATTATTTTAGGGGTCAATGTGCAAAAAAGTTGAGAGACTGCTCTTGTAATGCACACTTAAAAATCAAACACTACCATGAAAGAGGAACCTTGTAAGAGCTGTCTTTAAATACATTTGTAAAAGGCTGATTTCAGCGTTCGTTATTTCCTACCGATGCTTTCCTCACTTTGCTCTCATGGGATTCTCCCTGGAGAGAAATGCATTCTCTCTCGCAGTAGTCAGGGGATGGAAGATGTGGAGTTAGTGAACAAAAATCAACTTTACTCCTACTCCTGTCTACCATATATCTGAATTCAGAACATTCCAGCATAGACCAAAACACAGGATGTCCAACATCATATTTCACCCACTGCATAGATGTGTCTTCAGAAGAGGACGATTAAGTGCCCCTTCAAGGTTGATGATGCCTTGATCAGTAATAAAAGGAGGAAAATGCAGCCACAATACTGAGATTTTTATTCAATTTACCACACAATGCTTTCATATTAATTATAGCAAGTTAATAATTAAAAACCAAAATATTTTTGTCTCGTAATATATCCTAGCTTCTGATTTCCAGAAAGAAAAACTTAAGTCAGGGGCAAATACGTGTGTGTGCATGCACACATGGCACGTAGACTGCACGAGGAGCTTTGGTCATACCCCACAAAGCCTGGGAACTTGAGAGGGGCTTGCTGTTGTTTGGCATCAGGTGAAATGCATTTAGATGAATGTATTTAGTGGCTCATAGTTTCCTTTAAACATTCCCTCAATTACTGCTTTGTAATGAACCACAGATGTTTAAATTACTGTCACAAGAGAAAAAAACGTAATTAATAGCTTGTCATGGAAGTTTCAAAGGTTGGTAAAGAATAAATAAACTGGACTAAAATCTCACTCTTTGGGGTCTGGCTATGGTTGGTTGGGGTTGGGATGGATGAGGCTCTTCTGTATTGCCCACTGTGTGGCTGACAAGGTCTCACCTCCTTAAACTTAATGCTTAAGAATTTCTTTCTTGGCACAACCACAGTCTCAACAATGACAGAAACGGAAAATCTCTTCATACAGCTCCTAAAGGAAGTATATTCTGTTGTTAAAGTTTCATTTATGTCTCTACCACTTCAGGTAGATGAAGATAATTACTTCCAAATTCTTAGTGGAAGCCCAGAAGATATCATGCAGGATGTTTTTAATAGTAATGCAAAAATTATCTTGAAAATTCCAAAGAGAAGGTGTAATAACAAGTACTACCATATGATAATTTTATGTTGAGATATGTAAAATAGTTTATTTTGGAAAAATGGAAATAAGAATTTATTTTGTAAAAATTGCATTTCCATTAAGAGAGTTATATAAAATGAGATTTTACTATATTTTATACATACATTACATAAATATGTAAAGAGAGAGTCAATATTAAAGCATATGTGGCAATAGCAAACACATGAAAGGAACCTAAATGCCCATCAGTGGTAAATTGGATAAGGAAAATGTGGTCCATATACACCATGGAATACTACACAGCCATAATAAAGAATGAAGCCATGTCTTTTGTAGACACGTGGGTGAAGCTGGAGGTCATTATTCTAAGTGAACTAATGCGAGAAGAGAAAACGAAACACCGCGTGTTCTCACTTATAACTGGAAGGCAAACACTGAGTACACATGGACACACGGAGGAGACAGTAGACCCTGGGGCCTACCTGAGGGTGGGGGTGGGATGAAGATGAGGATCCCATACCGTGCTGCTTACCTGGGTGATGAAATAGTCCGTACACCAAGCCCCTGCAACACACAATTTACCCACATAACAAACCTGCCCATGTACCCCCGAACCTAAAATAAAAATTGGAAAGGAAAAAAAAAAACATATGTGCCTTCCAGATCTTCCAGATGAAAGCAAAAGGAAAACCTTGATAGTTAACGGGCCCAGCTCCAGCCTACAGCAGAGGAGCCATCTTTGGTGTTGCTGGGTTCTTCCATTGCTGTGATTTGGAGGAGGAGATGGCTGCCTCTCACTATTGAAGTAAAAGAGGCCAAATAGTCTGCCTACCCGGCAATTTACCCCTGGCTCTCTCTCATCTGGACGCAGGGACGGCTGCAGCTGCTCCCCTCGGCACCTGAGGTCTGTTGGGCTAACTCTTGATCAGCTGCTCTTTTTGACTTCTCCCTTCAAAGGATGATGCAGAAAAGAGTTAACAAGCAGGCCTGACTGCCATCCTCTATAGGGTCTGCTTACCAGGCTGACCCTGGGCTGGCCTCTGGGGACTCGGATTTCAGGAGGGCTCCCAGCAACCTGACAGTGCCTCTCCATGCCCGAGGCGTTTTTCCTGAACACCTGCATTCCTTCTCGAATTCTGGAATCTTGGTGCACGCCAAGAAGAGGGTGCCTGTGTGAGACCCCCAGCAGAAGCCCTGGGGGGTCTAAGGAGCTGCCCTGGTGGACAACACTTCACACGTGTTGCCGCTCTTTGCTGAGAGAATTCGCAGGTCCAGTGAGTCCAGTGGGTCCAGTGGGAGAGGGTGCTGGAGACGGTGCCTGCCTTCTTCTGACCTCACCTCACACACCTTTTCCCTTGACCGGCTGTGCCGGACACTCGGTCGCTCTAGTGGGTGGGCGGGAGTTAGATCATGTGCTGAGTCCTGGGAGTCCTTCTCGTGAACCATCAAGCCTGAGGTGGTCCTGGGGACCCCGGCCCAACCGCCATATGGAGATGCAGTGGCTGCTCTCCTGCTGACCTTCTTCCTGGTCCTGAAACCTTTTCCCTCTTGGCAGTCTACTCCCTTGTTTTCTCCCCTAGCAGTTTCCTGAGAAGGGCTCATGACAGGAAAAGGTTTCTAGACCTCACACCTCTGAAAGCGTCTCTACACCTTCACCTTAACTGGTATGAAATTCCAGGTTGGAAATACTTGTCTTCAGGATTTTGAAGACCCTGCTCCATGTTTTTCTAGAGCCTAGCTTTGCAGTTGAGTCTTTATATGGAATGAAGTCCCTTACATGAAATCCTTAGCCTTGTATGAAAATTGCTCTTTCTCTGGAAGCTTTTATGGACTTGCCTTTGTCCTGAAATTTCATCATTATTTTTCTGTTTGTAATTTTCATTATTTATTTATTTTGAGACAGGGTCTCACTCTCTCACCCAAGCCAGGGTGCAGTGGCATGATTAGCAATCTTCCCCCCACCCCAAATAGTTGGGATGACAAGTGTGTGCCACTGGGCTTTTTTTTTTTTTTTTTTTTTTTTGGAGACGGAGTCCGATCTTGGCTCACTGCAACTTCTGCCTCCCGGTTTCAAACAATTCTCCTGCCTCAGCCTCCCAAGTAGCTGGGATTACAGGTATGTGCCACCATGCCTCGCCTGGCTAATTTTCTGTATTTTTAGTAGAGACGGAGTTTGATCATGTTGGTCAGGCTGGTCTCCGACTCCTGAGCTAAAAGAATCTCCTGCCTCAGACTCCCAAAGTGCTGGGATTACAAGCATGAGCCACCGCATCCGGCCAATTTTTCTTGAGGGTATAATTTTATCCATTTTACTTGGCATTTGGTGGGCCCCTTCTGATAAGACACTAGTGTCCTTCAGTCCTGGGACATTTTTTAAAGTTATTGCTCTAATAGTTTCCTTCCTTTGGTGATGGATTTGTATGTATTAACATAGCTAAGCTTCAGCTGCTTGGCAAATCCTTCCCCTTATGGCTCTGGGTCAGCACAGGCCACAAAGACATTTTGCATGAACTCTCAAAAGCCGAAGTGAAACTGGGGCCATAGTCTTTACACCCTGAAATCAATACATTTTGGAAACATTATGCTGTGCAATAAGCTAGACACAGAAGGGCAAATATTGCAGTATTCTATTGTAGGTGGTCCGTAGAGGAGTCCAATTCCTAGAAACAGAAAGTGAAATGGTTGGGGCCAGGGGGTGGGGGTGGGGGTTGGGGAGTCAGTGCTGAATGAGGACAGAGCTTCAGTTTGGGCAGATGGAAGGGTTCTGGAGATGATGGTGGTGATGGCTGCACAACATTGTATGCTTAATGCCATGGAACTGTCCACTTACAAATGGCTAAACCAGTGAATTTCA